>NC_000023.11:1726351-1949345 GCF_000001405.40 Homo sapiens
GAGAGCTGAGGGTGTCAGCTCCAGTCTGAGTCTGAAGGTGTGAATTCTAGTGTGAGTCAGAAGGCCTGAGACCCAGGAGAGCCAATGGTGTGAGTTCCAGTCTGAGTCTGAAGTCCTGAGACCCAGGAGAGCTGAGGGTGTGAGTTTATGTTTATAAACATACGTATGCATGTGTCTTTATAGGAGCATGATTTATAATCCTTTGGGTATATAACCAGTAATGGGATGGCTGGGTCAAATGGTATTTCTAGTTCTAGATCCCTGAGGAATCACCACACTGACTTCCACAATGGTTGAACTAGTTTACAGTCCCACCAACAGTGTAAAAGTGTTCCTATTTCTCCACATCCTCTCCAGCACCTGTTGTTTCCTGACTTTTTAATGATTGCCATTCTAACTGGTGTGAGATGGTATCTCATTGTGGTTTTGGTTTGCATTTCTCTGATGGCCAGCAATGATGAGCATTTTTTCATGTGTCTTTTGGCTGCATAGATGTCTTCTTTTGAGAAGTGTCTGTTCATGTCCTTTGTATGTTTATTGTGGCACTATTCACAATAGCAAAGACTTGGAACCAACCCAAATGTCCAACAATGATAGACTGGATTAAGAAAATGTGGCACATATACACCATGGAATACTATACAGCCATAAAAAATGATGAGTTCATGTCCTTTGTAGGGACATGGATGAAGCTGGAAACCATCTTTGTCAGCAAACTATCGCAAGGACAAAAAACCAAACACCACATGTTCTCACTCATAGATGGGAATTGAACAATGAGAACACTTGGACACAGGAAGGGGAACATCACACACCGGGGCCTGTTGTGGGGTGGGAGGAGGGGGGAGGGATAGCATTAGGAGATAAACCTAATGCTAAATGACCACTTAATGGGTGCAGCACACCAACATGGCACATGTATACAATATGTAACTAACCTGCACGTTGTACACATGTACCCTAAAACTTAAAGTATAAAAAAAAATATGGCAGAGAAATGTGTTTTGGGGGTAAAATATTTTGATTTTCTTCCTTGCCATGCCAGAGTCAGATGGGAAAGTAAGTCACGATCTACGGGGTTAAATAAAACCCATCTGATGAGAATGTATTATGGTTTGTATGACATGACTCCCCCCCAGACCCCTTAGATAGGAATTTAGGCAAGATTAAAAAAAAAAAAAATCAGAGCTTCGTCCTCACACATGAGGCTTCAGTAGGATGTTGTGTTGGTGCCCCAGCCATGTGATGGACTCATAGCAAGTCCCAGCTGCTGTGAGTCCTGGCTGCTAATGGCTCCCGGCTATCCCCTCCTCGTCGGAATTTCCCTGGGCTGGTGGATGCCGCTTCAGCAGAGAAGCCTGGATGGTGAACTGATTTCTCATTAGAGCAGACAGCCCATGACTAATAGGACAGAGCCATGACTCAACCTTCTTCCCCAAACTGGGGCAGCCTGGGGAGGAGGGGCCGTGCTTTCTCCAGGTTTCCCCGGGGATCTGGCAGGTGCACGTCGGATATCACTTCTAGGGAAGTTGAGCTCAGACAGGTCACTTAGGGATCCTGGAGGCTCCGAAAGAGAGGGTGTCTTCCTTCCAGGCAGCTCAGTCTGAGGGATGAGACACTTCCATTGTCTTCCAAGTATGTGAATATCCCAGGTATGTGGGAAATGCACGCATAACTTTTTTTTTTTTTTTTTTTTTTTTTTTTTTGAGACAAAGTTTCGTTCAGTCGCCCAGGCTGGAGTGCAGTGGCAGGACCTCAGCTCACACAACCTCTGCCTCCCAGGTTCAAATGATTCTCCTGCCTCAGCCTCCCAAGTAGCTGGGACTACAGGCGCCTGTAATCCCAGCACTTTGGGAGGCCGAGGTGGGTGGATCACCTGAGGTCTGGAGTTCGAGACCAGCCTGGCCAATATGGTGAAACCCTGTCTCTCCTAAAAATACAAAAATTAGCCAGGCATGGTGGTGACACATATAGTCCCAGCTACTCGAGAGGCTGAGGTGGGGAATTGCTTGAACCTGGTAGGCAGAGGTTGCAGTCAGCCGAGATTGCATCATTGCACTCCAGCCTGGGCAACAGAGTGAGGCTCTGTCTCAAAAAACAAACAAACAAACAAACAAAAAATACAAATGCCAACAGTCTTCTTGTTTAGAAGTCATGCAAACCAGAATTCAGAGAGTGATCTGTTTTAAGTGCTGAAAGGTAAACCAACAATCAACAAACAAAATCTGTCTGCCTGGAATAACATACCAGTGAAAATGCCTTTTAAAGTAAAGCAGAAACAAAGGCTGACATCATCAGAAATGGAGAGAATTCAGACAGCCAAATGTGAACCCAGAAAATCTGAGACAGGGCTCAGTTAATTTTTATTTTATTTTAAAGACTGAGTCTTGCTCTGTTGCCCAGGCTGGAGTGCAGTGGTGTGATCTCAGCTCACTGCAACCTCCGCCTACCGGTTTCAAGTGATTCTCCTGCCTCAGCCTCCCAAGTAGATGGGACTACAGGCACCTGCCACCACGCCCAGCTAATTTTTTTTGTATTTTTAGAAGAGACGGGGTTTCACCGTGTTAGGCAGGATGGTCTCGATCTCCTGACCTCGTGATCCACCCGCCTTGGCCTCCCAAAGTGCTGGGATTACAGGCGTGAGCCACCATGCCTGGCCAAGCAACTCCTAATCTTAATAACAGAGAAAGAGGGAGACTTAGGGCTCTGTGCAATTCCCAAAAAAAGTATGGAAGCATCAGTTCCTCAAGTGACAGAAACAAAAGAATGACATCCGGCCGGGCGCAGTGGCTCACGACTGTATTCTCAGCACTTGAGGAGGCTGAGGCAGATGGATCATGAGGTCAAGAGATCGAGACCAGCCTGGTCAACATGGTGAAACCCCATCTCTACTAAAAATACAAAAATTTAGCTGGGCATGGCTGGGCGTGGTGGCTCATGCCTGTAATCCCAGTACTTTGGGAGGCTGAAGCAGACGTATCACGAGGTCAAGAATCGAGACCAGCCTGGCCAACATGGTGAAACCGTCTCTACTAAAAATATAAAAATTAGCTGGGCGTGGTGGCGTGGGCCTATAGTCCCAGCAACTTGGGAGGCTGAGGCAGGAGAATCGCTTCAACCCGGGAGGCGGAGGTTGCGCTGAGCCGACATTGCGCCACTGTACTCCAGCCTGGGTGACAGAGTGAGACTCCATCTGAAAAAAAAAAAAAAAAGAAGGATATCTTCATAGACCCTATTCCAAAAGCTGTCTCATTCCTATTTTGCAGGGGTAAAGAACACAGACATTGCTTGTAACACACTATCCTTCCCTAAACTAATTTCTGCAGACAATCACATTTCCACGCGTGTTTTAGTCTGATGTGCTTTCACGTTTTGGGGCTGTTGAAGGCACCCAGGTCTGGGTGAACACCCCCAAAATTCAGCACTTTGCCAGCGTGGGGAAGAAGAGGGCTGGGAGAGTAAAATCTTGCTTCAGTGTTTGCATGGGGAGATCTTGCACATCCAAGAGAGGAGCAGGTACACTGGCTGTGCACCTGCAGCCCCACGCTGTCTTCTCTCTCTGTCTCCAGGGTAGGCACTTTGGGGCAGAAGTGGTCAACAGCGCCGGAATCTACCGGTCAGCATCAGGCTTTAAAAGACGCCCTCGTGGCACTGTTGACAACAGCAAAGACTTGGAACCAACCCAAATGCCCATCAATGATAGACTGGATTAAGAAAATGTGGCACATACACACCATGGAATACTATGCAGCCATAAAAAAGGACGAGTTCATGTCCTTTGCAGGGACATGGATGAAGCTGGAAACCATCATTCTCAGCAAACTCACACAAGAACAGAAACCCAAACACCACATGTTCTCACTCATAGGTGGGAGTTGAACAATGAGAACACATGGACACAGGGAGGGGAACAGCACACACCGGGGCCTGTCAGGGGGTGAGGGGCTAGGGGAGGTATAGCATTAGGAGAAATACCTAATGTAGATGATGGGTTGATGGGTGCAGCAAACCACTGTGGCACGTGCATACCTATGTAACAAACCTGCACGTTCTGCACATGTACCCCAGAACTTAAAGTATAATAGTAATAATAAAAATAAACAACCCCCTGGAGGCCAGGCGCAGTGGCTCACACCTGTCATCCCAGCACTTTGGGAGGCCTAGGTGGGTGGATCACTTGAGGTCAGGAGTTCGAGACCAGCCTGGACAACATAGTGGAACCCTGTCTCTACTGAAATAAGAAAAAATTAGCCTGGTGCGGTGACGCATGCCTGTAGTCCCATCTACTTGGGAAGCTGAGGCAGGAGAAATCGTTTGAACCTGGAAGCCGGAGGTTGCAGTGAGCTGAGATCACGCCATTGCACTCCAGCCTGGGCGACAAAGCAAGGCTCTGTCTTGCAAACAAAACGGTCTGAAAGCATGTAGCCTGGTTTTTTAGCGCAGTCTTAGGGGCTGGCTGGGGTAGATATGTCTGTGCTTCCTTTCTGCTGGAGCCTGCTAACTTTCTGTTACTCTTTTGATATCAGGCCCCTAGCTCCTCTGAGGCACGGGAATATCCAGTTTCTTCTCCCCTCTGAAGAACCTGCCTGATAACAACCATAGTGCTTTAAATGGCATCTCCCAAAAGATAAGTCCGTGCCCTTCTCCCTAAAACCTGGGAAGGTGACTTTATTTAAAAAAAAAAAAAAGGGTCGGCCGGGTGCGGTGGCTCACGCTTGTAATCCCAGCACTTTGGGAGGCCGAGGTGGGTGGATCACGAGGTCAGGAGTTTGAGACCAGCCTGGCCCACATGGTGAAACCCTGTCTCTACTAAAAATACAAAAATTAGCCGGGCACGGTGGTGCATGCCTGTTATCCCAGCAACTTGGGAGGCTGAGGCAAGAGAATTGCTTGAACCCAGGAGGCGGAAGTTGCAGTGAGCCGAGATCAGGCCACTGCACTCCAGCCTGGTGACAGAGCAAGACTCCATTTCAAAAAAAAAAAAAAAAAAAAAAAAAAAAAAAAAAAAGGGTCTTTGCTGTCACAATTAAGCCTCTCAACATGAGATCATCCTGGATTGTTTAGATGGGCCCTAAATATCACAACTAGAGTTTTGTTGTTGTTGTTGTTGGTTTGTTTCTTTGTTTTTGTGACGGAGTCTCACTCTATCACCCGGCTGGAGTGCAGTGGTGTGATCTTGGCTCACTGCAACCTCCACCTCCCGGGTCCAAGCGACTTTCCTGCCTCACCGTCCTGAGTAGCTGGGATGACAGGTGCCCCCACCACACCCAGCCTAATTTTTGTATTTTTAGTAGAGACGGGGTTTCACCATGTTGGCCAGGCTGGTCTCGAACTCCTGACCTCAAGCGAACAACTAGCATTTTTATAAACTACAGAAGACGGTGGCTATTCATCTGCCCCCTCTCTCCTGGGTATTTGCGTGTCAGGTGCAGAGATGGAGTCTTCTGAGGGCGCACATCACAGCGTAGACAGAAAGTTGAGGTTGTACATGCCGCAGGTTCCAGATGGAAATCACTAGTGCCTCCTCTTCTCTCTAATAGGCACACTAGACACAGCAGGTGCATTTTGGCGGTGGGATGAGGTCCGACAGTCACCTTTATTTTTTATTTATGTATTCATTAGTATTATTATTTTTTGAGACTGAGTCTTAAACTGTCACCCAGGCTGGAGTGCAGTGGCGGCATCTCGGCTCACTGCAACCTCCACTTCCCAGGTTCAAGGGATTCTCCTGCCTCAGCCTCCTGAGTAGCTGGGATTATAGGCGCCCATCACCATGCCCAGCTAATTTTTGTATTTTTAGTAGGGACGGGGTTCGCCATGTTGGTGAGGCTGGTCTCCAACTCTTTTTTTTTTTTTTTTTTTTTTTTGAGACGGAGTCTCGCTGTCTCCCAGGCTGGAGTTCAGTGCCTCAATCTCGGCTCACTGCAAGCTCCACCTCCCGTGTTCTCGCCATTCTCCTGCCTCAGCCTCCCCAGTAGCTGGGACTACAGGCGCCCGCCACCACACCTGGCTAATTTTTTGTATTTTTAGCCATGGGGTTTCACCATGTTAGCCAGGATGGTCTCAATCTCCTGACCTCGTGATCTGCCTGCCTCGGCCTCCCAAAGTGCTGGGATTACAGACATGTGCCACCACGCCTGGCTAATTTTTTGTATTTTTAGTAGAGATGGGGTTTCACCGTGTTGGCCAGGCTGGTCTCGAACTCCTGACCTTGGATGATCTGCTCGCCTCGGCCTCCCAAATTGCTGGGATGACAGACGTGAACCACCGTGCCTGGCCGACAGTCACCTTTAGAATGTGAACAGTGGACACTGTGTTGGGGTCTCCTACCTGTGCCTGTGATGTGGACTGGCCCATCTCGTCATGGACAAGGTGGGGAACCTTGACTCTGACCCCTGATTTTGGATGTTTCCTCGTGGAAAATAAATATAAACCCAGGGTAGAGTGTGTGAGACAAGCTGGATGCATCCTGTTTTTCTTTATTTATTTTTTTAAGTTGGAGTCTCGCTCTGTCGCCCAGGCTGGAGTGCAGTGGTGCAATCTCGGCTCACTGCAACCTCCGCCTCCTGGGTTCAAGCGATTCTCCTGCCTCAGCCTCCTGAGTAGCTGGGATTACAGGTGCATGCCACCATGCCCGCCTAATTTTTGTACTTTTAGTAGAGACGGGGTTTCACCATGTTGGCCCTGGTCTGGAACACCTGACCTCAGGTAATCTGCCTGCCTCAACCCCCCAAAGTGCTGGGATTGCAGGTGTGAGCCACCATGCCCAGCCAGATGCATCCTGTTTTTTAGCCCACTCAGCAAAGGTCTGTGCCTCACCCGTCTACTAAGCTGCTGCTCTCGGCATTGAAGAAAAAAAGGAGAGGGGGCCGGGCGCCGTGGTTCACTCCTGTAATCCCAGCACTTTGGGAGGCTGAGGCAGGCCGATCACCTGAGGGTCAGGGGTTCGAGATCAGCCTGGCCAATATGGTGAAACCCCGTCTCTACTAAAATTACAAAACTTTGCCAGGCTTGGTGGCGGGTGACTGTAGTCCCAGCGACTCGGGAGGCTGAGGCAGGAGAATTACTTGAACCCAGGAGGTGGAGGTTGCAGTGAGTCAAGATGGCACCACTGCACTGCAGCCTGGGTGAGAGAGTGAGACTCTAACTCAAAAAAAAAAAAAAGGAGTGGGGGAGATTCTCTGTCATTCCCTTCAAGCCAAGAGAGGGCATTGAGCCTCCTGGGCTGAAGCAAGGAGCAGTCTGCCCACTCATGTATAAGTTGAGTCACAGAGATGACATGGTTCTGAAGGACGGGTGAAGTAGATGGGTCTGGACTGTGAAGACGAACTGTCAGCGTTCATAGCACAGAAACCGGCTCGCGTCTGTCTGTGAGCCTCCGAGAGGCAGATTTGAGATGGCTTTCCTTTATTTATTTATTTATTTTTGAGACAGAGTCTTGCTTTGTCGCCCAGGCTGGAGTGCATTGGTCATCTTGGCTCACTGCAACCTCCGTCTCCTGGGTTCAAGCGATTCTCCTGCCCTCAGCCTCCCGAGTAGCTGGGATTACAGGCGCCCACGACCACACCCGGCTAATTTTTTTTTTTTTGTATTTTTAGTAGAGATGGGGTTTCACCATGTTGAGCAGTCTGGTCTTGAACTTCTGACCTCGTGATCCACCCGCCTCAGCCCCCCAAAGTGCTGGGATTACAGGCGTGAGCCACCGCGCCCGGCCTGAGACGGCTTTCCAAGGCTGCAGAAATGAAGTCTGCAATAGCAGATCCTCTTTGCCTGGGTTTGCACGTGATCCAGCAAACCACCCACCGACCCGTTGCCTCATGTGAGACATCCTCAGGGAACAGCAAGGTGAGCGTGCCGCAGGTACGAATCTCTGGTTGTGGCAAATGCGTCTTTTGCAAAAGCCAAACCTGGCCAGCTTTTTGCACCAAATGGTCAGAAAGTAGAATTGAAGAGAAGCGGGTGCTTCGAGACCTGAAGCACATTCTCCAGGATCGGTATTTGAAGTCTCGGACAGGGACCTTCTGCAGCCAGATCATTTCTTGCCATGTTTTCTTCTCAGTCCTCAGACTGGAGAGTTCAATCTTGAGCTTCTCAGGCTGGAGATGAGCGGTGGGTGAGTAGGATGAGGCTTGGCAACTTCTCTGCAGGGTCTGTCTGTTATCACCACTCGGGAAGTTTATGATCCTGCTAACACTAGTTTTTCATGCCTTTTTTTCTTTTTCTTTCTTTTTTTTTTTTGAGATGGAGTTTCGCTCTCGTTGCCCAGGCTGGAGTGTAATGGTGCGATCTCGGCTCACTGCAACCTCTGCCTCCTGGGTTCAAGCGATTGTCCTGCCTCAGCCTCCAGAGTAGCTGGGATTACAGGCATGTGCCACCACGCCCAGGTAATTTTTGTATTTTTAGTAGAGACAGGGTTTCACCATGTTGGTCAGGCTGGTCTCGAACTCATGACCTCAAGTGATCTACCTGCCTCGACCTCCCAAACTGCTAGGAGTATAGGGGTGAGCCACTGCCCCTGGCCTAATTCTTCACATCTGAATAAGGTCACACTTAACTTTCCCCGAGCTCTGTCTTTCCTGACTGAGTTAATGCTGGAGCCGTTAAAACCGAGAGAGCACATCCGTTCTCAGGCAGCATTTGCTAACTTCTTCAGAGCTTCATGGAATGTTCTGCCTTCTCAGGGCATGCTGTGGTTTGGTTTTCTCCTTTTTCTTCTCCTCCTCCTTCTTTCCCCCTCCTTCTTCTCTTCCTGTCTTCCTGTTCCTCTTTCTCCCCCTTCTCTTCTCCCTCCACTTCTCCTCCTCCTCCCCCTCCTTCCCTTCCCTCCTCCCCCTCCTTCCCTTCCCTCCTCCTCCTCCTTCCTCCTCCCCTTCATCCTCATCGTTCTCCTCCTCCTCTTCTCCCCCTCCTCCCCCTCCCCCTCCTCCTCCTCCCCCTCCTCCTCCTCCTCCTCTTCCTCTTCCTCCTCCTCTTCTCCTCTTCTTCCTCCTCCACTTTCTCTTCCTTTCCCCCACTCTTTTCCCTCCTCCTCCTTTCTTCTTATCCTGTTTCTCCTTCTCCCTCTTCTCCCTCCTCTCCTCCCTCCTTCTCTTTCTGCTCCTCCTCCTCGTTCTCCTCTTTCTCCCTCCTCTTTCTCCCTCCTCTTTCTCCCTCCTCCTCTTCTCCCTCCTCCTCTTTCTCCTCCTCCTCTTTCTCCTCCTTCCTCGTCCTCCTCTTCTCCCTCCTCCTTCGTCTCCCCCTCCTCTTCTCCCTCCACTTCCTCTTCCTTCCCCCTCCTTCCCCCCTCCCCCTCCTTCCCCCCTCCCCCTCCTCCTCCTCTTTCTCTCCCTCCTCTTTCTCTCCCTCCTCTTTCTCTCCCTCCTCTTCTCTCCCTCCTCTTCTCTCCCTCTTCCTCCTCCTCTTCCTCCTCCTCCCTCCTCCTCTTTCTCCCTCCTCCTCTTTCTCCCTCCTCCTTTCTCCCTCCTCCTCTTTCTCCCTCCTCCGCTTTCTCCCTCCTCCGCTTTCTCCCTCCTCCGCTTTCTCCCTCCTCCGCTTTCTCCCTCCTCCGCTTTCTCCCTCCTCCGCTTTCTCCCTCCTCCGCTTTCTCCCTCCTCCGCTTTCTCCCTCCTCCGCTTTCTCCCTCCTCCGCTTTCTCCCTCCTCCGCTTTCTCCCTCCTCCTCCTCCGCTTTCTCCTCCTCCTCCTCCTCCTCTTTCTCCTCCTTCTCCCTCCTCCCCACTCCTCTTTTTCAGAGAAGGTCTTGCTCTGTCACCCAGGCCGGAGTGCAGTGAGTACAATCATAGCTAACTGCAGCCTCAAACTCCTGGGCTCAAGCAATCCTCCCACCTCAGCCTCTCAAGTAGCTGGGACCATAGGCATGAGCCACCATGCCTGGCTAAATTTTTAAAATTTTTGTAGAGACAGAGTTTCCCTATATGTTGCCCAGGCTGGTCTCAAACTCCTGGCCTCCAGTGATCCTTCCATCTCAACCTCCCAAAGTGCTGGGATTACAGGCATGAGCCACCCTGCCTGGCCTATTACCTTCTTGTTTATCAAGTTACTTCTTTATATCTGAGGCTAGCTAGATACCTGGAATTTTCCATGTAGAAACTCAAGATTTTCCTTTATTTTCACACGTGAGTTCTGCAGGCCCCTAAAAAGAAGGGTCTCTGCTCCACCTCAGAGCCATGGTTTATAGAAAGATTGAGGACAAAACTTGGTGACCAGGACTCGGGCTGAACCTCCAGGCTCCGTGTCTGGGTCTACAGTTTCTCCTACAGCAGAAGGTTGAAGCATCCCTCATAAACCTGACTCTGAACTTGGGGCCCCCACGGAGCTGGGAAAAGCAGGCACAAGAATTGGGGGTGGCACTGGCACTTAGACCCAAGACAAGGGGAGTGGGAACTCTGAGCTTTGGCCATCATGCTTTGTTCTAAATTTCTTCCTGAGGACGGGCACGGTGGCTCACACCTGTCATCCCAGCACTTTGGGAGGCCGAGGCAGGCGGATCACGAGGTCAGGAGATCGAGACCATCCTGGCTAACACGGTGAAACCCCGTCTCTACTAAAAATACAAAAAAATTAGCCAGGCGTGGTGGCAGGTGCCTGTAGTCCCAGCTACTCGGGAGGCTGAGGCAGGAGAATGGCGTGAACCCGGGAGGCAGAGCTTGCAGTGAGCCGAGATCGTGCCACGGCACTCCAGCCTGGGTGACAGAGTGAGACTCCATCTCAAAAAATAAAAATAAAAAAAATAAATTTCTTCCTGAGGGTCCTGCAGAGAGTCACCCCACAAGCCAGTTAACATTTTAGTTCTGCTGACCCCAGATTTCTAAATAAGTCTTCCCTTCCTTAACCAATTACAAATCAGAAACATCTTTGAATCTACCTATGACCCATAAGCCCTCACTTCAAGACATCTCACCATTTTAGATTTAAACAGATGTATAACTTGCATGTATTTGCAAACCAAAAGGCCTCTGAGACAGGTCTTAACCTTGGCAAAATAAACCTCTACATTGATTAAGGACCATGGTCCATGACACAGCCTTAGAAGGTTCTGAGAACATGGGCCCAACATGGTTGGGTTACAGCTTAGTTTGTTTTTTTGTTTTTGTTTTTGTTTTTGTTTGTTTTTTGTTTTTTTTTTTTTTTTTGAGACGGAGTCCTGCTCTGTCGCCCATGCTGGAGTGCAGTGGTGCGATCTTGGGTTGCTGCAACCTCCGCCTTCTGGGTTCACACCATTCTTCTGCCTCAGCCTCCTGAGTAGCTGGGACTACAGGTGCCCGCCAGCTCACCTGGCTAATTTTTGTATTTTTAGTAGAGACAGGGTTTCACTGTGTTAGCCAGGATGGTCTCAATCTCTTGACCTTGTGATCCGCCCGCCTCAGCCACCCAAAGTGCTGGGATTACAGGCGTGAGCCACTGTGCCCAGCCTACAGCTTAGTTTTATACCTTTTAGGGAGACAGAAGTTACAGGCAGACACATAAATCAGCACATGGAAGGGACACATTGGTTTAGCTCAAAAAGAGGGGACAGGCTTCCAGGTCATAGGTGAATTTAAAGATTTCTTAGGCCAGGAATGGTGGTTCACACCTGTAATCCCAGCACTTTGGGAGGCCAAGTCAGGTGGAACAGTTGAGGCCAGGAGTTTGAGACCAGCCTGGACAACATAGCAAAACTCTGTCTCTACTAAAAATGCAAAAACAAAATTAGCTGGGTATGGTGGTACATGCTTGTAATCCCAGTTACTTGGGAGGCTGAGGCATGAGAATCACTTGAACCTGGGAGGTGGAGGTTGCAGTGAGCCAAGATTGCCCCACTGCACTCCAGCCTTGGTGACAGAGTTAGACTCTGTCTCCAAAAAAAAAAAAGAAGAAATGACTTCTTGATTGGCAAGTGCTTGAAAGGGTCAAGCTCTGCCTGCAAAGTTTGAAATCACGGGAGAGAAATGCTTGGGTTTAGAGAAAGGGGGCTGCAGAAGCCAAGGTTTTTGTTATGTAGATGAAGCCTCCAGATAGCAGGCTACAGAGGGAATGGATGGTGAACTTGTCCTATTGGGCGTTAACAGCTGTCAGAATCTCCAGAAAGGACCTTGTACATCTCTACAGAAGAAATGGCTTTGCAGGGCCATTGGGGTCAAATACTTTGATTCCTTCAAGGCCTGCTATCTGTCATGTAACGCTCTACCAGAGTCAAATCGGAGTTTGGGATCTCATTGCACAAAAAGTCTGGTCCATCTTAAACTCTCTGTTTTAAATGTTAATGCTGGTCAGTGGTGCCTAAACTTCCAAGGGAGGCAGGTCCAACCCCCATTTCCTGTCATGGCCTGAACTAGCTTCTCAGGTTGCTTTGAGAACCCCTTGGCCAACAGGGGACCCATTCAGTCCGTTGGAAACGTGAGAAGTGTATTTTTTTTTTTTTTTTTTTTTTTTGAGATGGAGTCTCTCTTTGTTGCCTAGGCTGGAGTGCAGTGGCACGATCTCGGCTCACTGCAACCTCCGTGTCCCGGGTTCAAGTGATTCTTCTGCCTCAGCCTCCCGAGTAGCTGGGATTACAGGCACGCCCCACCTCGCCTGGCTAATTTTTGTATTTTTAGTAGAGATAGGGTTTCACCATATTGGCCAAGCTGGTCTCGAACTCCTGAACTTGTGATCCGCCCCCTCCAAAGTGATTGGCCTCCCAAAGTGCTGGGATTACAGGCAGGAGCCACCGTGCCCAGCCACTGGGGTTACAGGCACGCACCACCTCGCCTGGCTAATTTTTGTATTTTTAGTAGAGAGGGGGTTTCACCATCTTGGCCAGGCTGGTCTCAAACTCCTGACCTCAGGTGATCCGCCCGCCTCGGCCTCCCAAAGTGCTGGGATTACAGGCATGAGCCCCCGTGACTGGCCAGAATTGTATTTTTTAATTTGGGTTTGTGTGTGTGTGTGTGTGTGTGTGTGTGTGTGTGTGTGTGTGACAGGATCTCTCTGTGGCCCAGGCTGAAATGCAGTGGTGCGATCTTGGCTCACTGCTGTTTCCACCTCCTGGGCCCAAGTGATCATCCTGTCTCAGCCTCCCAAGTAGCTGGGACCACAAGTGTGCAACACCATGCCTAGGTAATTTTTATATTTTCTGTAGAGACAGGGGTCTCACTATGTTGCCCAGGCTGGTCTCGAACTCCTGGGCTCAAGTGATCCACCCTCCTTGGCCTCTGAAACTGCTGGGATTATGGGCATGAGCCACTGCACTTGGCCTATTCTTTAAATTGTATGTGTGTCTGTGTGTGAGAGTTGGAGTCTCACTCTGTCGCCCAGGCTGGAGTAGTTCAGTGGTGTGATCTTTGGTCATTGCAACCTCCGTCTCCTGGGGTCAAGCGATTCTCCTGCCTCAGCCTCCTGATTAGCTGGAACTACAGGCATACATCACCATGCCTGGCTAATTTTTGTATTTTTAGTAAAGACAGAGTTTCACCATGTTGGCCAGACTGGTCTCAAACTCTGGACCTCAGGTGATCTGCATGCCTCGGCCTCCCAAAGTGCTGGGATTACAGGCATGAGCCACTGCATCTGGCCTATTCTTTAAATTTTTCTTGTGTGTGTGTGTGTGTGTGTGTGTGTGTGAGTTGGAGTCTTGCTCTGTCACCCAGGCTGGAATAGTGCAGTGGCACGATCTTGGCTCACTGCAACCTCTGCCTCCTGGGTTCAAGCGATTCTCCTGCCTCAATCTCCTGATTAGCTGGGACTACAGGCGTGTGCCACCATGTCTGGCTAATTTTTATATTTTTAGTAAAGACAGGGTTTCACCATGTTGGCCGGGCTGGTCTTGAACTCCTGACCTCAGGTGATCTGCCCGCCTCAGCCTCCCAAAGTTCTGGGATTACAGGCATGATCTACTGCATCTGGCCTATTCTTTAAATTTTTCTTGTGTGTGTGTGTGTGTGAGTTGGAGTCTTGCTCTGTCACCCAGGCTGGAATAGTGCAGTGGCACGATCTTGGCTCACTGCAACCTCTGCCTCCTGGGTTCAAGTGATTCTCCTGCCTCAGCCTCCTGATTAGTTGGGATTACAGGCGTGCGCCACCATGCTTGGCTACTTTTTGTATTTTTAGTAGAGACAGAGTTTCACCATGTTGGCCAGGCTGGTGTCGAACTCCTGACCTCAGGTGATCTGCCTACCTCGGCCTCCCAACATGCTGGGATTACAGGCCTGAGCCCCTGCACCCAGCCTATTCTTTAAATTTTGTGTGTGTGTATGCATGTTATTTTGGAGTCTTGCTCTGTCACCCAGACTGGAATAGTGTAGTGGCAGGATCTCAGCTCACTGCAACCTCTGCCTCCTGGGTTCAAGCAATTCTCCTGCCTCAGCCTGCTGATCAGCTGTAACTACAGGCATGCGTCACCATGCCCGGCTAATTTTTGTATTTTTAGTAAAGACTAAGTTTCACCATGTCGGCCAGGCTGGTCTCGAACTCCTGACCTCAGGTGATCTGCCTGCCTTGGCCTCCCAATGTGCTGGGATTACAGGTATGAGCCCCTGTACCCAGCTTATTCTTTACATTTTGTGTGTGTGCGTGTGATTTTGGAGTTTTGCTCTGTCGCCCAGGCTGTAATAGTGTAGTGGCACGATCTTGGCTCACTGCAACCTCTGCCTCCTGGGTTCAAGTGATTCTCCTGCCTCAGCCTGCTGATCAGCTGGAACTACAGGCACCTGCCACCATGCCCGGCTAATTTTTGTATTTTTAGTAAAGACCAAGTTTCACCATGTTGCCAGGCTGGTCTCGAACCTTGGACCTCAGGTGATCCGCCTGCCTTGCTTGGCCTCCCAAAGTGCTGGGATTACAGGCGTGAGCCACCGCGCCGGTGTAGTTAACTTTCCTTCTCCAAAGCTCTTGGCAGAATTCCAGGTAACTTATTTTATCCTAATGAAATAGACGACATAGCCCTTTGATGTTTGTATTGACTCCTGTCTCCCAGTGGAGAAAAATCACGAGGAAAAGAAAAGACAAAAATATTTACCCTTTAGGGTTCCCTTCATGTATCACAGTGACCTGCAGGGAAGCTCACATAAATGTAATTTAGAAAAGCTTCCTGTGGCCAGGCACGGTGGCTCTCGCCTGTAGTCCCAGCATTTTGGGAGGCCAAGGGGGGGTGGGGGCGGGGAACGGATCACGAGGTCAGGAGTTCGAGACCAGCCTGACCAACATGGTGAAACCCCATCTCTACAAAAAATTAGCTGGGCATGGTGGCGGGCGCCTGTAGCCCCAGCTACTCGGGGGGCTGAGGCAGGAGAATCGCTTGAACCCAGCAGGTGGAGGTTGCAGTGAGCCGAGATCATGCCATTGCACTCCAGCCTGGTGACAGAGGGAGACTCAGTCTCAAAAAAAGAAAAAAAAAAAAAAAGAAAAGCTTGTTGTGATCAATCAGATGTTTCCAATGATAACGAAAAAGCGACATCCACTGTTCACCTCGTGTTCACTCACCAGCTCACTCAACCCAAAGCACCGTCGTTTCTCAGGACGCACCATCCCATCATTTTTCCCGTAATTTCTCCGGTTAGTGTTGATTCGTGCTGTTAACATGCAAACCCACCTTACGTTCCTGCTTTACGGTTATGAATTGCAGTCTCGCTGTTCTTGGAAGGGACTTCCAGCCTGGAAAGAAAAGGGAGGGATAAGAGAGCATCTGTGGATCTTCCTGGCATATTCCTTCTCCTACAAGGTGAGCTCAAGAGCACAGAGCTTATCTCCACACAAGCAAACTCCCACTCTTCCTGTCATTGAACATAAGGAAGAAACAGGATTCTCCTCTTTTCTCAGTTGCATAAGCAAATCCTTATGCAAACATCTGAAGAGACATCAGAGAATCTTTGCCCGTGCCAGATGCCCTTCGGGGGACAGTCTGCGTCTGCTTTGCTTGGAGTAGCACAGGAGCTTGATGTGCCTGTGGAGAAGAGCATTGAGAGCTTGTTGGAAGGAAAATTGGTCCTGAAACTGCACAGGGCTACCCTAGGATTGGCTTATCAGGGGAGGCATATGTCCTGGTCCTGTAGGTCACAATCCTAGTGTTACTAAAAGGGCTCCCTCTCGGGTCAGGTGCAGTGGTTCACGCCTGTCATCCCAGCACTATGGGAGGCTGAGGCAGGCAGATCACAAGGTCAGGACATCGAGACCATCCTGGCTAACACGGTGAAACCCCGTCTTTACTAAAAATACAAAGAATTAGCCGGGCATGGTGGTGGGCACCTGTGGTCCCAGCTACTCCGGAGGCTGAGGCAGGAGAATGGTGTGAACCCAGGAGACAGAGCTTGCAGTGAGCCGAGATCACGCCACTGCACTCCAGCCTTGGGTGACAGAACAAGATTCCGTCTCAAAAAAGAAGAAAAAGAAAAAAAAAAAAGGGTCCCTCTCCAGACCCCAAGAGAGGGTTCTTGGACCTCAGGCAAGAAAGAATTTGGGGCAAGTCCCTAGACTAGAGTGAAAGCAAGTTTCTTAAGAAAGTAAAGGAATAGGCTGGGCGCAGTGGCTCATGCCTGTAATCCTAACACTTTGGGAGGCCAAGGCGGGTAGATCACTTGAGGCCAAGAGTTCGAGACCAGCCTGACCAACATGGTGAAACCCTGTCTCTATTAAAAATACAAAATCAGCCGGGTGTGGTGGCACATGCCTGCAAATCCCAGCTACTTGGGAGGCTGAGGCAGGAGAATTGCTTGAATCCAGCAGGTGGAGGTTGCAGTGAGCCAAGATGGCGCCACTGCACTCCAGCCTGGGCAACAAGAGTGAATCTCCATCTCAAAAAAGAAAAAGTAAGTAAAGAAATAAAGAATAGCTACTCCATCGCAGAGCAGCCCTGAGGGCTGCTGGTTGGATATTTTTGTGGTTGTTTCTTGATGGTATGGTAAACAAGGTGGATTATTGATGAGTTTTTCTGCACAGTGGAGGAGATTTCCCAGAGTGAAGGGTTCCTCCCCCTTTTAGACCATACAGGGTAACTTTGAGTCATGGCCATGGCATTTGTAAACTGTCCTGGCGCTGGTGGGAGTGTCTTTGAGCATGCTAACACGTTATAATTAGTGTATAAAGAGCAGTGAGGATGACCAGAGGTTGCTCTCTTTGCCATCTTGGATTTGGTGGGATTTGTCCGGCTTCTTTACTACAACCTGTTTAATCAGCAGGGTCTTTATGGCCTGTATCTTGTGCCGACCTCCTATCTCATCCTGTGACTTACAATGCCTAACCTCCTGGGAATGCAGCCCAGTACGTCTCAGCCTCATTTTACCCAGCTCTGTATTCAAGATACATTCACTCTGGTCCCAACGCCTCTGACACTACGTTCCAGGGATTACGGCATGAACATACTGTTTTCAGGACCCTATCTAGCCCACCATGGTAAGGAAACACCCAACAAACATCATGCTTATTAAGTTTCCAGGCAGGTGCCTCTCTATCCCAGCTTCATTGTTGTGTTCTTTTCTTCACAAGTATTTTCAGAGCTGCCCTTGGCCATCTGGAAGATGCATGGTGAAAGAAACGGATGCTTGCTCTCAGCACACACTTCCTTCCCTGACAGTTTGTCGCCTAGCAGCTATTTTGGCTTCCCAAGGGAAATCTTGTCCTTTGCCCTTGTGGGGCTTACTGCAAATCAACTCATCATGAGGAAGATTAATCAGAGAAAAGACATACAATTTTTTTTTTTTTTAAACTGTGAGCATGAAGAGAATCACAGAGTGTATACTCAATCTCCCAATGGGGGCAAAATACTTCTGTAACCTCCTTTCAGGTGGCGAGAGGGGACATGGGAATGTAGGTAATTCTGTTGAGTGGTAATAAGTGATGACTAGGAAGATTGAATGGATACTTGGGAGAATGAATAGGGGGAGGAAACAGAGATTGACTTATTAATGGTTCCCTTTGGAAATTAAATACTCCTTGGAGACCAGTCATTACTTTGTAAAAAAGTCTGTTTGAGCGGGCTTACATCTTAACGTTCTTTCCTGTAGTCAAGAAGAAGATCCCAGGGAGGGAGGGAAAGTGAATTGTAATAATCCCGACATGTTCAGGGAGGGACCCTGTGGGAGGTCATTGAATGATGGGGGGCAGGTGCTTCCTGTGTTGTTCTTATGATAGTGATTAAGTCTCACAGGATCTGATGGTTTTATAAAGCCAGGTTCCGCTGCACATGCCCTCTTGCCTGCCGCCATGGAAGATGTGCTTTTTCTCCTCCTTTGCCTTCCGCCATGATTGTGAGTCTTCCCCAGCCATGTGGAACTGTGAGTCCATTAAACCTGTTTCCTTTATACATTACCTAGTCTTGGATATGTCTTCATTAGCAGCGTGAGAACAGACTAATACAGAACGGAAAAAAAAAATGTTTTACTTGGTGGATGTCTCTGGTTTTTATGTCAATGGGGAAAAGTCCCTTCCAAGGTCTTTTAATCTTTAAGGGTTTTTAATTTAAAATATTCGTTTTGCAAAGGAGCCATATTTTGGGGTGAAATTATCTGTACAGAGCCAGTAATTCATCACAGAGGAGATAATTCTGTTTTATCAGAGACTGACCAAGAGCTATGTTGATCTTGTGAATTTGGGAGATTACCCTTTGCTCAGCTGATGTTCAAGGAAGGCAACGGCTTTGGGAAAAAGTTCAATATGTATCCGTGAAACTGCTAACCTTTGGGAGTTACCGTAGTTTGGATATGGGTTATTTGTTCCCACCAAATGTCATGTTGAAATTTGATCTCCAGTGTTGGAGGTGGGGGTAGTGGGAGATGTTTGGGTCCTGAGGGTGGTTCCCTCCTGAATAGATTAATGCCCTCCCTCAGGGCTGAGTGAGTTCTCACTCTATCAATTCCCTCAAGAAATGCTTGTCAGAAGAGTCTGGCACCTCCAACCCGTCTCTCTTTCTTCCTGTGTCTCTGTGTGATCTCTACACACTGGCTCCCCTCTGCCTTCCGTCATGAGTGGAAGCTCCTTGAGGTCCTCAAGATCCTTCTTGAGAAGAAGATGCTGGTGCTAAGCTTCTTGTACAGCCTACAGAACTGTGAGCCAAATGAACTACTTTATAAAATACCCAGCCTCAGGTGTTCCTTTCTGGCAACATAAAATGGACTAAGACAGGGCCCCATACTCATAGCTACCTTTTCATGTAGGGCTGAAATGAGGAGAGGAGGACACAGACACACACAGATGGAAGACCCTGTGAGTTCTCAGGGAGAAGATGGCATCTACAAGCCAAGGAGAGAGGCTGCAGGAGGAAGCAGCCCTGCAATGCCTTGATCTCAGACTTCCAGCCTCCAGAACTCTGGGAAATAAATACCTATTGTTTAAACGACCTGGTCTGTGGTCCTTTGTAATGGCGGCCTTAGCCAACTAATATACTCCTCAAAAGCCTGACACATATGCTCATTTGGAGATTTGGGAGATGTGCTTGGAAATGACATGATTGAAAGTCTACCAGGCATTTCACATCAATCGTTCCGTCATCCTCTCCAAACCTCGGGGATGGCTTGTCTTTCTCTCTTGTAAAAATCACTTCTCCCTTCTGACCACATAAATATTCCAGACAACAGACTCTTCGGAAACAAGTGCTCACACTTCGGTCCTCTGTTAACTCTCTTCCTAAAGACACCAGACACTGGGGGAGAGATCGGGGCTGGAGGGGTGACTGACTGACAAAAGCGAGACTGTAGGAGCAGAGACATGTCGGATGGGTTTTACAGGTTTCCTGGAGCAACAGCTCTTATTCTGGGCTCCTGGGGTTGCCAACTGCCTGTTATGGGCCAAATTGTGTCCGTCTCCAATTTTATACATGGAAGTCTTGATCCCCAGGACTTCAGACTGTGACTGTGTTTGGAGATGGGGTCTTTAAAGAGGTGATTAAGGCACAATGAGGTTATTAGGGTGAGCCCTGCTCCTATAGCTATGGTATCTTTACAAGAAAAGGAGATGAGGACACAAACACACACAGAGGGATGACCCTGTGAGGACACAGGGAGAAGACAGTGTCTCCAAGCCCAGGAGAGAGGCCTCAGGAGGAACCAGCCCTGCCCACACCTGGATCTCAGACTTCCAGCCTCTAGGACTGTGGGAGAATCAATGTCTGTTGTTTATAAGCCACCGAGTCTATGATATTCTGTGATAGCAGCCTGAAATGGACTAAGACATCCCATAAGAAGAAGAGACGAGGACACAGACACACACACAGGGATGACCCTGTGAGGACACAGGGAGAAGACAGTGTCTCCAAGCCCAGGAGAGAGGCCTCAGGAGGAACCAGCCCTGCCCTCACCTGGATCTGGGACTTCCAGCCTCCAAGACTTGGGAGAATCAATGTCTGTTGTTTATAAGCCACTAAGTCTATGGTATTCTGTGCTAGCAGCCTGAAATGGACTAAGACATCCCATAAGCAGAGGAGATGAAGATTCAGACGCACACAGAGGGACGACCCTGTGAGAACACAGGGAGAAGACAGTGTCTACAACCCCAGGAGAGACGCCTCAGGAGGAACCAGCCCTGCCCACACCTTGATCTCAGATTTCTAGCCTCCAGGACTGTGGGAAATAAGTATATATTGTTTAAGTCACCCAGTCTGTGGTGATTTGTTATGGAGGCTTTAGCCAAGTAATATACTCCTCAAAACCCTATTTCTATTGGGAGATTTCTATTGGAAGGAAGATTCAGAGTGCAAATTTGTAGTATCCCTGCTGATCTATCTCCTAAATGAAACACATCATTCCCAAGCACTTGTCTTTGTGCGAAGATCCATTTTGCAACCAACCATATATAATGTGTGAGGCCTTTTCACAAGACTGGCTTAATTAAAAATTCACATCCTCCTGACATCTTAAATATAAGAGCAGTAAGATATGCAGCTTTAACAGTTTGTAGTGGCTGGGATTTTGAGGAGGGATGTTTTGTCGTTAGCTTGGGAAAATAGGTTCTACTGACATCTGTTCAGCTTAGCTATTATTGTTCTTTTTTGTTACAGAAGTAAAACGGGGAATTTTTTAGAAACACGTCAATTACCTTTGATTTTGTGTCATATACAGAAGGGAATGTTTTTATTCCTGCAAACCCCATAAAAGCCAGTGATGCATTTTCATAGCCCTCTCTTGGCAGAAAACTGCCTTTGAAATTTCTGGATCAAGAACGTATTATTTTCTGATGGCTTTTTTTTTTTTTTTTTCTGGTGATGTATCTCAAAAGCTTCAACTTTTCCCCTCCTGTTAGCAGAATACAGGTGAGTAGTAAAGTACGAACCATTTTTTATTTTCTTCTTACAGTAGAATTTTTTCATCGCTTACAAATATAGGTGCCCCTGGCTTCAGAGAATCACACTTTTCCATGCCACTAAATTCAGACACCACCAAGGACTGTGAATTTGAGCAGAAGTGAGGTGTGTCACTTCCTCCCAGAAGCCTGGGTCGTGGTTGCCCTTGGAGAACATAATTTTTTGAAAATATTTATTTTACTTTAAGTTCTGGGATACATCTGCAGAACGTGCAGGTTTGTTATACTGGTGTACATGTGCCATGATGGTTTCCTGCACCTATCAACCCATCATCTAGGTTTTAAGCCCCACGTGCGTTAGGTATTTGTCCTAATGTTCTCCCTCCCCTCACCCTCAACCCCCTGACAGGCCCTGGTGTATGATGTTCCCCTCCCTGTGTCCATGTGATCTCATTGTTCAACTCCTACTTATGAGTGAGAACATGTGGTGTTTGGTTTTCTGTGTCTGTGTTAGTTTGCTGAGAATGATGGCTTCCAGCTTCATCCATGTCCTTGCAAAGGACATGAACTCATTCTTTTTTATGGCTGCTTAGTAATTCATAGTATATATGTGCCACATTTTCTTTATCCAGTCTATCATTGATGGGCATTTGGGTTGGTTCACTGTTTTTGCTATTGTAAATAGTGCTGCAATAAACATACGTGTGCATGTGTCTTTATGGCAGAATGATTTACAATACTTTGGGTATTTGCGCAGTAATGGGATTGCTGGGTCAAATGGCATTTCTGGTTCTAGATCCTTGAAGAATTGCCCCACTGTCTTCCACAATGGTTGAACTAATTTACACTCAACAGTGTAAAAGCGTTCCTATTTGGAGAACATCTTTTGTTCTCTCTCTCCCTCCCTGAGAGTGGAAGTATTCCAGAACAGGGCTGCTTTATCCCCCTGGGTCCTAGTCTTAAGATGACAAATAGTGAAGCCCCCATTGGTGAGCAGGTGGTATGGGTGAGAAACAGACTTTGGTGATGTTAGCTGCTGAGATTCTGGGATTGTTTGTTATAGCAGCATCACCTGGTCTGTCCTGACTAATACACATATTGACAATTTACTTTTCATCGAATTACTTTGTTGAGCTGTGTGTTAATAGAATGAAAACGCTGCTTTGTGCAAAAAACACTAGCTAATAATATAGACCCTTAGTTCCACGAGCATTTTCTACCTTGTATTCCTTGGTGCAAGGACTTAACAAATCATTTGGCACTTGTACAAGAGCATTCATATAAAGAGGCAGCAGCTTAATTTTGCTTGTTTCCCAAGCAATGTGTTCAGGGAGGTCTAGACACAGAGTGGACAGATGAAGGAAAATGACCCAATGAAGACATTTTCCAGGACATGTTCCCTGGCTGTGCTGTAGGGGTGACCACATTTTAGTCTAGTAAGGTTAAAGATCAGAGCTGAATACTGCTGAAACTTGAGCGTCCTAAAAATTCCCTGTTAAAGGTATCCCATGGAGAGATCCAGGTCTCACTACATGATTTGAAAATGGTCTTATTTGGAGGAATCAAATTAATCAGCTCACAACAAGATGCTTGTATACTTGTGGTGTTGAGACCTCAGTGATGGATACCTTTTTGTTTTTTCTTTGAGACAGAGTCTTCCTCTGCTGCCCATGCTGAAGCGCAGTGGCAATCACATAGCTCACAGCCCCCTTGAACTCCTGGGCTCAAGATATCCCCTCAACTCAGCCTTCTGAGTAGCTGGAACCACAGCTCTGTGCCACCACAGCTGGCTGATATTGTAATGCTGAGATCTTCATCTGTACAAAAAAAATAAAAAATAGCCAGGTGTAATGGTGCACACTTGTAGTCCCAGCTACTTTGAAGGCTGAGGTGGGAGGATTGTTTGAGCCTAGGAGTTTGAGGCTACAGGGAGCCATGATTGCACCCACTGCACTCCAGCCTGAGCAACACAGTGATGTTGCCCAGGCTGGCCTTGAACTCCTGACCTCAAGCAATCCTCCCACCTTGGCCTCCCAGATTGCTGGGATTACAGGTGTGGGCCATCGCACTCAGCCGGTGTTGAATACTTTCCGATGGCAGGTTGAGAAGACATGACTGGTAGAAGAAAAATGTTCCTAGGGCCAACCACATGGGGGCAGACTTTGTTGGGGCACCATGGCAACAGTTCCCAGTGGCAGGACCTGACGTTTCAGGAGCTAGGGAAAAGGGAGGCCATGGAATACAGGTTGAGACGTGGTAAGGACAGTCCCAAATGTTGCCTACCCCAGTTTTGTTCAGCAAAAGTCTCAGTCGTTGATTCCTTTTGTGGGCTGAAGGTATAATTCGGCTTTTTCTGCCCAATATGATGTTTGTGAGATTCATCCATATCATCCAGATGTAGGAGCCTCCTGGATTTGGAGCCTCCTGGATTTTACAGCTCAGGGTACCTTGGGGAACTGGAGGCAGAGCTTACTCTTGTTAATAACTAAAATCATAACAGTGATAGTTGACATTTACCCAGCTCTTGCAGTGTCTAAGGGGCTATCCCAAGAGCTTCCTTTATGTGCGTTGCCTCGTTTAATTTTACAGCCTTCTCATCATGGTTACACCATTATTATCTGAAGTTACAGGTGCACCAACTGAGACCTAGAGGGTTTCAGGACTAGCTGTGCATGCCTGGAAAAGTTTATGACAGTTCTGGGTTTGCAGCTTCAGTCAGTGTGGCTGAGAGCTTGTAATCACCAGGCTTCTGCCCACAGGAAGCAAGCAGGGTGAGGATGGACTGGGTTCCTGGTTATCTTGATTCTGATTCTTTGATAGTAATTAGACACACATGTAGCTGAGGTGCCATCAGCCCTGTTGTTTCCTGAGGTAGCTTTGATGCTGATGGTAGGGTCGGCTTTTCAACTGTGCCTTTGCAGCCCTTGGAATAAATTTCATTGTAGGAAGCACTGAGTCACCATCTTCAAAGCAGGCAGCAAAGACCTTCAGAGCTGCTCCAGGGAACGCAGACAGCTCAGCTAAGTTTGTTTACCTTCTGGAAATGTCAGATTTGGAGGTTCATTGCATTTGTCAGGGGAGCAACGTGCCTCTGTTGACATCGCCTCACCCTGCCGTGCAGCTATGCTTCTCTTCTCTGCTCCTGAAGGTCTCAGACAGCCAGGCTGCAGTCCAAGTGTCACCCCTTAATTTCAGCAGGCAGGCTGTTCTCCCGTGTCAGGGAACAACCTGAGTTTCAGAAAAGTGTCAATTTTGTGCTGCCGAGGAAGAATTTGGGCTTAGGCAAATGGTAAGGTCATAGCAGATGCAAGCCCCAAATTTAGTTCCGAATCGTGTTTTAATTATGATTTCAGGCAAATGTAACACATTGAAATATGTGACAAGTATAAATGTAGTCATACCACCTACATTGGGGAATGACTTGTCCTGCAGCATTTTGGGGTGGGGAAGAGGGAAATTCCCAACATTGTGTTAAAATAATATCCTACATAAGAATACAGAATTAATCAACTGAAATGCTAGATTTGTTTTGGTTTTACTCCAAAGACTAGTTAGACATACTCATGACACAAGAGTCACATAGTCTACTTTTGAGACTTAAAGAGAGAAACTAGAAGCTCAGAAAGCAGACTTTGGCGTTAAGCACTGGGTAAGTGGGAAGAACAGGGAGAAGAATGAGTTTCTATCCTTCATCCGTCTTTGTTCTGCTGCCTGTAAGCCCAGTTCATCTGTTGTTGTTGTTTTTTTCCCAAGGGGATCCGGTACCGAATGCAGCATCTACCAACCACAGGCACTGGATGTAACTATGCTTTGGTGAGCTTTCTTCTTGGGAAAACATGAAGAAATCACAGGCATTATTACTGTGTCTGCGAGTGTTGCTGGCAGGGCTGGCGGTCTCTGTTTTAATTCGCTTAATTGTGCACTAAAGCTTATCTTTTCCTTGCTGGTGCTTGTCCTTAGTTTATCACGCGAGGGAATTAAGATTCATTGGTTGGCCGGGTGCGGTGGCTCATGCCTGTAATCCCAGTACTTTGGGAGGCCGAGGCAGGCGGATCACGAGGTCAGGAGATCGAGACCATCCTTGCTAACACGGTGAAACCCCGTCTCTACTAAAAATACAAAAATTAGCTGGGCATGGTGGTGGGAGCCTGTAGTCCCAGCTACTCAGGAGGCTGAGACAGGAGAATGGCGTGAACCGGGGAAGGCAGAGCTTGCAGTGAGCTAAGATTGCACCACTGCACTCCAGCCTGGGAAACAGAGCAAGACTCCATCTCAAAAAAAAAAAAAAAAAAATTCATAGGTAAGGAATGCGTGGAGGGCTCTTTTATAACGTATCAATGCACAGCATAGATGGAAAGCATTCTTAGATCAAAAGAGCATGCCCAGGTTATTTCCCCAAATGAAACTACCCATAAACAGACTGAGATCCAGATGGTGACTCACCACTAGCAGCTCCCTGGAGAGCTCCACACACGCCTGCTGACAGTCACCATCCCTCTGCTGCCATCACGGTCTTCTAACGCTGCTGGTAGTTTTGAACATTTTCATACTTCATGCAAATACATCATATAGAGTAGGTGATTTTGGGGGTTCAGGGTATAATTCAGCCTTTTCTGCCTAAGATGATGTTTGTGAGATTCATCCATGTCATGGCGTGTCAATATAGCTGTTTCATTGTCAACGACGTTTAGCATTTTCTTGGGTCAACACATCGAGACTTATTGATCCACTCTGCTGCTGATGGGCATTTCAGAAGTTTCCCATTTGCAGATACTGTCAATCAGGTACCTGGGAGCACTCTCGTCCATAGCATTTGTGACATATCTGTGGCTTGCTAGGGAATTTCTACCCGGGGTGGACTTAGCACACCGGGGTCTGGAGGACTATTTTGAAAAGAATGCTGGAAATTCGGTGAAAAGAGGGAGTGACTGATGACAAAAATCCTCCTATGGCAAAGAAGGTGGTAGTGGGCAGAATCTTCTACAGAGATCATCTCACTCTTCATGCACATCCCCACTAAACTTAGGAGAAACTTGAAAAGGGAAGAAATCTTTGCCCAAGGTCACTGTTGGTAAAAACCTAAGATCCTTCCTCCTTCCCTGGATGGCTTGTATTCTAACAGAAGCTCAGATAAATTCTGAAGTAAAGGGTTGGTATTTGATTGAAACCGATTTTGACATGATTTGTGAGTTTTTAAACCTTCCCAGGGGCATTCATTACCTTAAAATTCTAAAAGAAATTCAGGGCCATCTTAAAAGAGCTGATGGTTATAGACAAATCAGGCCATCTAGCAGAAGCATGAAAGAATGGATGTAAAATGAAACTCACCTATAGACAAATCAGACCCTCTAGCAGAAGCATGAAATAATGGATGTAAAATGAAACTCACCTATAGACAAATCAGGCCCTCTAGCAGAAGCATGAAAGAATGGATGTAAAAATGAAACTCACCTATAGACAAATCAGACCCTCTAGCAGAAACAGGAAAGAATGGATGTAAAATGAAACTCACCTATAGACAAATCAGGCCATCTAGCAGAAGCATGAAAGAATGGATGTAAAAATGAAACTCACCTATAGACAAATCAGGCCCTCTAGCAGAAGCAGGAAATAATGGATGTAAAATGAAACTCACCTATAGACAAATCAGGCCATCTAGCAGAAGCATGATAGAGGATGTAAAATGAAACTCACCGTGGCATACTGGAACACTCACTATCTTAGTCTGTTTTTTGTTGCTATGACCGAATACCTAAGACTCGGTAATTTGTAACGAAAAGAAATATACTTATGACAGTTCTGGAGGCTGGGAAGTCCAACAATGAGGAGCTGCATCTGGTGAGGACCTTCTTGCTAGTGGGGACTCTCTCTGGAGAGTTTTGAGATGGGGCAGGCCTCCGAGAAAAACAACCTGGCTTTTGATCACAGACCTGCTCTTCTGATAACTAACCCACACCTTAGATAACTCATTAATTGATTAATTCATGAAGGGATTAATCCATTCACGAGGGCAGAGCCTCATCTAAACACTCTTACATTGGGGACCCAGCCTCAACATGACTTTTGGTAAGGGCAAACCATATTCTAACCATAGCACTTACAAACCATCTGCTTATGTTGAATTAAATTTAGGTGGTTGAATACACACTCAGAGCTGTGACTCTTCGGTTTGATTTATCTCAGAAAGCTCTCAAAGTCCTCATGCTCTACTGAGCCCTCTCAGTATAGGTGGCATTTGCTACATAGCTGGACACTGAAGTTGGCAGCTGAACTTGGCTAGCAACAGGAGAGACTGATGGGTTAGAGTCGTTATGAATTAGTACTATTTTACATTTGTTAGAAAAAAATTGCAAAACTGAACTATTATTATTAATCTTATCATTATTTTGAGAGGGGGTCCTGCTCTATTGCTCAGGCTGGAGTACAGTGGTGCAATCGTAGCTCACTGCAGCCTCAAACTCCATACTGCAGCTCTGACCATACCACGGCTCCGACCACAGCACAGCTCTGACTATACCCCAGCTCTGACTTTACTGTAGATTGGACTATACTGCAGCTGAGACCATATTGCAGCTCCTGCCACAGCACAGCTCCAATCATACCGCAGCTCTGACTGTACGGCAGCTCTCAGCATAGCACAGCTCTGACTATACCGCAACTGTGACCATACCTCAGCTCTGACCATAGCACAGATCTGGCCATAGCACAGCTCTGACTCTACCGTAGCTCTCACTATGCTGTAGATCTCGCTATCCTGGAGCTCTAATCATACCACAGCTCTGAGCATAGCACAGCTTTGAGCGTATCTCAGCTCTGACTGTACTGCAGCTGTGATCATACCGCAACTCTGACCATATCTCAGCTCTGACCATAGTGCAGGTCTGATTGTGCCACAGCTCTGACCCTACTGTAGATCCGACTACACTTCAGCTGTAACCATCCTGCAGCTCTGTGCAGACCTTACATCTGATCTTGCTTCAGCTTTGACCATCCTGCAGCTCTGACCAGACCCCACGCAGTGCTCATCTCACTGCACATCTGACTGCTGCAGCTCTAACCATGCCGCAGGAAGTGAAGGAGACGAGAGAGAGAACTAAGGCTGCAATGCTGTTTGCATAGCTTGTTGGCACGGCCGCCAGGAATCTTGGATCCAAAGTTAGGAGTGCTGCTGCTGCTTCTCCCAGGGATGGGTCTGCCTCAGTATCCCTGCAGAGTCAGTCCTGGGGTGTTGGGGCAGCCGTGCACATGTGGTCTCTGTGGCCGGTGTTCCAGTGGGTTTCAGAGCAGTGGCTGAAACTGTCAATGAAACCCCCAATGTCTGACATCTCAGGAGGCTTCTCAGGTCTCCCACATGGCAGCTTTTTTTTTTCCTCTTTAAAATAAAAACTTTTTTTCATCCTTCACTAAGAAATAGCATTTCCCTATACACCTGACCTCAGCAATGTACACCGTACCAAATAATTACAAATGGTAAGTGCTTTTGTGAAAAGATAATCAACATGCCAGATAAGGAAAGAAATACAACATTAAAAAAAAAGAGGCCATAATTGTCCATACATTTGGCAAACATACAAAGAAAATGGACAATACTGACACGTTTCAGGGTATCGGGCAAAAGGATTCTCTGTTAAGGGTGGAAACTGGTAACATCAACTCTAGATGGCCCATTTACACATTATTTGGAGAGATTAAAAAAGTACCCATCCATTGAACCAGCAATTCAATGTGTAGGAGTGTAGCCTGCAGGTCGCAGGTGCACAAAGACTGTGTAAAGGGAATTGGCTGCAAAAAGGTATTTATTTGCAAAACACTGGGAATGAGTTGGAATCAATTTATAGGTTGATGGTTAAGGGTTATGTACAGTTGTTGGTTGCCAGCAAGAGAAACAGACTCTAGTTGATTGAAGAAATTTAATAGATATCGGGCAGGTCAGATAAAGGATGAGAAGATTAGGGAATTATAAGTAGAACCCCATGAAGGCTGGTGGATAAGAAGTCCATGTGTATACCTGCCATGCCCCAGTTATACACAGCCTGCTTAGGACACAGCTTTGTTGAATTACCTGTAGACCCCAGACTCTGTTGAAGCATTCTTGCTTCCATCACGAATAACTACTGAACTTTTTTTGTTTTGTTACATCCTTCCCTCAGAATTTTGAAGGTCCCTGATAAGACATCTTTGAGGTCAGGCATAAATCATCACTTCACATCTTGACGGCAATGCAACGAAGACAAGTATCTGTCTCTTTGGGTCTGTCTAACAAGGAGCAAAGCCTGGCCTCCCACCAGCATCCAGACAATAGTGGATTCCCTCTCCATAGATGTCAAAAAAGAAACAGATGCTCCCGCAGGTGAAATGAGCTCTGGTCCACAATGCAACGCAGGCTGTGCAGAAAATCAAAGAGGAACCAACCCAGAAGTATCCCCCAGGACAAATCATTAAGGGGGAAAAGGCAAGTGGTACAACCCTTTATTTTATGATTCTACTAGGAAAAAAAATAGCGGCATTCCTTAAAATATTGAGATAACTGGCAGGTAGAATGAACCAAAAACTATTAACAGGGGTTCCCAGGAGAATGGAGGACAATTGAAACAGGGTGTGAAGCGGAGAGGCATAATTCGTTCTAGTGATCCTGTCATTCTCGCCTTTCCAATGATACTATATTGGTGAATGCATTGCCCAGATAACATTTAAAAAGGTTTTAAGTGGCTGGGCACGGTAGCTTATGCCTGTAATCCCAGCATTTTGGGTGGCTGAGGCAGGTGGATCACCTGAGGTCAGGAGTTTAAGACCAGCCTGGCCAACATGGAGAAACCCCGTCTCTACTAAAAATACAAAAAAATTAGCTGGGCGTGGTGGCACATGCCTGTAATTCCAGCTACTTGGAAGGCTGAGGTACGAGAATCACTTGAACCCAGAGGGCAGAGGTGGCAGTGAGCCAAGATCGTGCCATTGCACTCTAGCCTGGGCAACAAGAGCAAAACTCTCTCTCAAAACAAAACAAACAAACAAAAAGATTTAAAGTGGCCGGGTGTGGTGGCTCACGCCTGTAATCCCAGCATTTTGGGCGGCCGAGGCAGGCGGCTCACCTGAGGTCAGGAGTTCAAGACCAGCCTGGCCAACATAGAGAAACCCTGTCTCTACTAAAAATACAAAAATTAGCTGAGCCTGGTGGTGGGCAACTGTAGTCCCAGCTACTTGGGAGGCTGAGGCAGGAGAATCCCTTGAACCCGGGAGGCGGAGGTTGCAGTGAGCTGAGATCTCGCCACTGCACTCCAGCCTTGGAGACAGAGTGAGACTCTGTCTTAAAATAAATAAATAAATAAATAAATGCAATCTGTCTTAAAATAAATAAATACATAAAAAAGTTTAAAACATGTTTAACAAGCATGAATACATATATATGGTCATGTGAGAGTGAGTATACAAGCAGATAATGGTCTGGCCATCTACATAGATAAAACTCTGACCCACAACCTGCCAAGAAAACCAACCCCTTATCCACTGTAACCAGCGCAGGAAGTCACCTGCTGTGTACAAGTCAGACATGCAGGATGTCAGATTACTATCTCCAGCAAACAGTCCAGGAAGGCAAACAATATCTTCAGGCACCATGGGCCCTAAACAAGATTTGATTCATAACCACCAGATTTCCTAATGTTTGCCCCTGATTTAAAATTAGATGGCTGGCCGTGGTGGCTCACACCTGTAATCCCAGCACTTTGGGAGGCCGAGGCGGGCAGATCACGAGGTTAGGAGATTGAGACCATCCTGGCTAACATGGTGAAACCCCATCTCCACTAAAAATACAAAAAAAAAGTAAACTGGCATGGTGGCAGGTGCCTGTAGTCCCAGCTACTTGGGAGGCTGAGGCAGGAGAATGGCATGAACCCGGGAGGCGGAGCTTGCAGTGAGCAGAGATCATGCCACTGCACTCCAGCCTGGGTGACAGAGCGAGACTCTGTCTCAAAAAAAAAAAAAAAAAATTAGAAAGCTGAAGAGACACCGTCCTAACCAATCCCAGGGGTGCCCCACTTCTCATGAGCCTCCTACAGCTTTAGAATGTGGACAGCCTCTAATTAGGGCATGCCTGCAGTCTTCCTGATTCTCCTATCTGGGGTTCCTGCTTTTACATTTTTGCTAAATGCAAGGGACGGTGGCTGCCTCCCTTGGTATAGCAAGCCCTGGATAAATCGTTTCTTCTTGCTCGCTGTTGGGTGAGCTTCTATTATTTCCATAGTGACCAGTCATCATCACCTTGTCATCAGCAGCATGTCAATGTAGCGTGGAAAGTGGGGCTGGTGGATGGAGATGTCTTTTGCAGAGCCAGGGATTCCACGTGGAGCATTTACATTGGGACATTCACTGTTGAGGGTGCTTCCCCTCTCCCCTGCAGACCACCCCCACCAAGGGTCAACCCAAGACCCCCAAGCTCACTTTCTTTCCTCCAGGTCTTCACTCTGATGTCAAGTCGTTTCATCTCTCTGAGTTCCTCTTTCTTTATTTGCTAGAAAGGGATCCTGCCCTCCCTTTCCTATGACTCTTAGGTTTGTTCTGTGATAAGGTGATTCAAGGGGTAGACACTGCTTCATAAGCTGACCCACAGTGACTGCTGGAAATGAAAGAGGTTGGCTGGGCTCAGTGCTTCATGCCTGTAGTCCCAGCACCTTGGAAGGCCATGGTGGGAGCATTGCTTAAAGCTGGGAGGATCGTTGGAAGCCTGGGCAACATGGCAAGACACTCATCTCTACAAAAATAAAAATAAATTATCCAGGTGTGGTGGTGTGTGCTTGTAGTCCCAGCTACTCTGACGGCTGAAGTAGGAGAATCCCTTGAGCCTAGGTGTTTGAGACTGCAGTGAGCTAGGATTGCATCACCTCACTCTAGCCTGGACAACACAGTGAGACCCTACCTTCAAAAAAAAGAAATTAAAAAAACAGCTCACCCTTCATTTCCACACCACTGATGTTGGCAGTTGTGATGCTAGAAGTGAAATTGGTCCTGTTCTCTCTTTGCAAATAATTTCATTTAGACTTGAGGGGGTCTCCTTCTAGCTCCTAGTTTCTTTGTGTATCTGTGTGTGTGTGTGTCAGAGAGAGAGAGCAAGACAGAGAGAGAGAGACAAGGATATTTTTCTCTTTTGGTGTTCAGTGGATAGGCGTCCAGGAAGGAGTGTTTGCTGGTTTTCTGGGGAGTAAAATAAAAACAAATGTGGATTTAGATAAGAAAGAGATTTGAAAAGACAATTACAGGCTGGGTGTGGTGGCTCATGCCTGGAATCCCAGCACTTTGGGAGGCTGCGGTGGATCACTTGAGGTCAGGAGTTCAAGACTATCCTGGCCAACATGGTGAAACCTTGTCTCTACTTAAAAAAAAAAAAAAAGAAAAAGAAATAGCCGGGCGTGGTAGTACACAGCTAAAATCCCAGCTACTCCAAAGGCTGAGGCTGGAGAATCACTTGAACCTGGGAGGTGAAGTTTGCAGTGAGCCGAGATTGCACCACTGCACTCTAGCCTGGGCAACAGAGCGAGACCCTGCCTCAAAAACAAAACAACAACAAAACGATAAAAGAAAAGAAAAGACAATTGCAGTAGGGAGATTGCTTGACTGTAAGATTTGTAAGCATCTCAAAGACTCAGGCAGAAACAAATTTCATTTATAGGGAGAGGCATGTCAGAATAATTGATCAGGAAATACTTCCCCTTGTCGTTTGTTGATTTTTCAGGAGGGGTTGTTGAAGAGGGGCTGTCCCACGTTCCAACGTACGAGGGTGTTCAGAGGAGCTGGGGGTGGGTGGGGGAGGAGAAAACTTCAAGTTTGGTCCACAAGCACTTTATTCCTATTGATTGTGGGGATGAACAGGTCAGCTAGACATTTACAAAGGAAAGAAGGAATTTGGAGGCCAGGCACTGTGGCTCACACTTATAATCCCAGCACTTTGGGAGGCCAATGCGGGTGGATAACCTGAGGTCAGGAGTTCAAGACCAGCCTGGCCAATATGGTGAAACCCGGTCTCTATTAAAACTACAATGTTAGCTCGGCCTGGTGGAGCATGCCTGTAATCCCAGCTACTCGGGAGGCTGAGACAGAGTTGCTTGAACCCTGGAGGCAGAGGTTGCAGTGAACCAAGATCACGCTATTGCATTCCGGCCTGGGCAACAAGAGCATAACTCTGTCTCAAAAAAATAAAAAATAAATAAAAATTTAAGAAGAAAATAAAAAGAAGGGATTTGGAGAGTCTGGTCTGGCCTTGCTCTGGAGATCAAGAGGAAGGCAGCCATGCATCTTTCCTAAGTCATGAGAGAAAGGCAGGAGTTTACAGCAAGTCACTTCTCAGAATACAAAAAGGTAAGGGGGATTGAGACTATCCTGGCTAATGCAGTGAAACCCCATCTATACAACAACAAAAAATTAGTCAGATGTGGTGGTGCATGCCTGTAGTCCCAGCTACTTGGGAGAGGCAGGAGAATGGCGTGAACCCAGGAGGCAGAGGTTTCTTCCTTCCTTCCTTCCCTCCCTCCTTCCCTCCTTCCTTCCCTCCTTCCTTCCTTCCCTCCCTCCTTCCCTCCTTCCTTCCCCTTCTCCTTCCTTCCTTCCTTCCTTCTTTCCTTCCTTCTTTCCTTCCTTCTTTCCTTCCTTCCCCCCTTCTTTCTCTCCTCTCTCTTTCTTTCTCTCTCTTTCTCTCTCTCTCTTTCTTTCTTTGATGGAGTCTCACTCTGTCACCCAGCCTGGAGTGAAATGGCACATTCTTGGCTCACTGAAACGCCCACCTCCCAGGTTCAAGTGATTCTTCTGCTTCAGCCTCCTGAGTAGCTGGGACTACAAGCGTGCACCACCACACCCAGCTAATTTCTGTATTTTTAGTAGAGATGGGGTTTCAACATGTTGGCCTGGCTGGTCTTGAACTCCTGACCTCAGGCGATCTGCCCATGTCGGCCGCCCACAATGGTGGGATTACAGGCATGAGCCACCCCACCTGGCCCAGGTAGGGGGATTTCTTACCCTTCACTGTTTTCTAGAAACACAGTGCTCAGAAAACGTTCAATAGTGTCTGGGACAAGATACTTAGGTCATTTGAGGGTCTTTTAAATAAAAGAATAAAAAATTACGTATACACATTTAGACATGAAAGAGAATTTTTGTTTAGAATAAAATCACAGCAAATTGCAAAATCTGGAAAAGCTGATGGGCAGCCTCCAAAATCACAGGATTTACAGAACTAACATTGTTATGCATTCACCGTCAGACCCAATCCTATTTCCCCTACAACTTCTAGCCGGAAGGTCTTTGATCAGCGATTTTTGTCTCATCCATACAGGCACGGGAAAGGTATTTCATTCTTTCCTGTAGCACAGCTGACTGTCATTTATTTATTTTTCAGACTTTAGAAAAGTATCTTTGAGCCGGGCGCGGTGGCTCACGCCTGTAATCCCAGCACTTTGGGAGGCCGAGGCGGGCGGATCACAGGGTGAGGAGATCGAGACCATCCTGGTTAACATAGTGAAACCCCATATCTACAATAAAATACAAAAAAAATAGCCAGGCGTGGTGGCGGACACCTGTAATCCCAGCTACGTGGGAGGCTGAGGCAGGAGAATCGCTTGAACCCAGGAGGTGGAGGTTGCAGTGAGCCGAGATCACACCACTGCACTCCAGCCTGGGCAACAGAGCAAGACTCCGTCTCAAAAAAAAATAATTGAGCATCGTAATTTCTTATTTATTTTGAGACGGAGTCTTGCTGTTTTGCCCAGGCTGGAGTATAATGGTGCAATCTCGGCTTACTGCAACCCCCGCCTCGCGGGTGCAAGTGATTCTCCTGCCTCAGCCTCCCGAGTAGCTGGGACTACAGGCACCTACCAGCACATCCGGCTAATTTTTTTTTTGTATCTTTACTAGAGATGGGGTTTTTCCGTGTTGGTCAGTCTGGTCTTGAACTCCTGACCTCAGGTGATCCAGCCATCTCGGCCTCCCGAAGTGCTGGGGTTACAGGTGTGGGGTACTGCACCCAGCCAATTTCTGTTTTTTGTTTTTTGTTTTTTTTTTGAGATGGAGTCTTGCCCTGTCGCCAGGCTAGAGTGCAGTGGTGCGATCTCGGCTCACTGCAACCCCCGCCTCCTGGGTGCAAGCGATTCTCCTGCCTCAGCCTCCTGAGTAGCTGGGACTACAGGCCCCTGCCAGCACATCCGGCTAATTTTTTTTTTTGTATTTTTACTAGCGATGGGGTTTTTCTGTGTTGGTCAGTCTGGTCTTGAACTCCTGACCTCAAGTGATCCAGCCATCTCAGCCTCCCAAAGTGCTGGGGTTACTTACAGGTGTGGGTCCCTGCACCCAGCCAATTTGTTTTTTTGTTTGTTTGTTTGTTTGAGATGGAGTCTTGCTCTGTCACCAGGCTGGAGTGCACTGGTGCGATCTCGGCTCGCTGCAACCTCCGCCCTCCCGGGTTCATGCCATTCTCCTGACTCAGCCTCCCAAGTAGCTGGGATTACAGGAACCTGCCATCAAGTCCGGCTAATTTTTTTTTGTATTTTTAGTAGAGAAGGGGTTTTTCCATGTTGGTTCAGCCTGGTCTTGAACTCCTGACCTCAGGTGATCTACCCCCTCAGCCTCCCACAGTGCTAGGATTACAGGCGTGAGCTACTGCACCCATGTCAACTATGGGGAAAAGCTCATTAATTTTCTCTTCTATAAAATTTGAAAGATTTCTTGACGTTGCAGTTTCTTTTCCCATGATCATTTATCTCAATCTCATTTGAATTGACAGCATTCATTAGCTCGTTGGTTCTCAGTGTTCTCAGAGTAGCAGTATTTCAAACATTGTATGCTACCTACGTTGATGTTGTACTTTTTCCTAAATTGCTAAAAAATAGAAGGGTTTTTGCAATGAGATAATATGAGTGACTTTTTTTTTTTTTTTTTTTTTTTTTTTTGGAGATGGAGTCTCACTTTGCCATTCAGGCTGGAGTGCAGTGGTGCGATCTCGGCTCACTGCAACCTCTGCATCCCGGGTTCAAGCAATTCTCCTGCCTCAGCCTCCCGAGTAGCTGGTACTACAGGTGCCTGCCACCACGCCCAGCTAATTTTTGTATTTTTAGTAGAGATGGGCTTTCACCATGTTGGCCAGGATGGTCTCAATCTCTTGACCTCGTGATTCACCCACCTTGGCCTCCCAAAGTGCTGGGATCACAGGTGTGAGCCATGGTGCCCGGCCTCTTTTTCTTCTTTTTGTTCTTTTGAGGCTGCGAATGGATTGGATAAGGCCATCCCATGTTGGAGAAAATGATCTCCCTTTCTCAGGCTACCAATTCAATTTCTAACATCACTGGGAAGCACCCTCACAGATACCCCAGAGTGACATTCAATCAGACATCTAAACACCCCATGATCCAGTCAAGTTAACACATAATATTGTTCCAACCTCATTCTAGATATAAGAAGGGCCCTAAATGCAATGACAGCTGTTCTAAGAGACAGAAGAGGAGACGCAGACACAGAGGAGAAGGCCACGTGTAGACAGAGGCAGAGACTGCAGTGATGTGGCCACAAGCCCAGGGATGCCTGGAGCCCCCAGGAGCTGGGAGAGGCAGGAAGGATCCTCCTCTAGAGCCTCCAGAAGGAACTGGATACAATTGGAATGGGTTATATGGTGATCCCCAAAATATATGTTTATTTCCTTTTCCCCAGAACCTATAAATGCAATCTTACTTGGAAACAGGATCTCTGCAAATGTAATTAGTGAAGGATCTTGAAATAAAACCTGTCCTAGATTAGGGGGTCCTAAATGCAAGGACAGGTGTCCTTCTAAACACAGAAGGGGAGACCCAGACAGAGGAGAAGGCCACATGGAGACAGAGACTGGAGTGGTGTAGCCACGAGCCCAGGAATGCTGGGAGCCCCTGGGAGCTGGGAGAGGCAGGAAGGATCCTCCCCTAGAGACTCCAGAGGGAGCCCAGCCCTAACATACCTTCATCTCAGACTCCTGGTATCCAGGATTATGTGAGCATACATTTCCATTTTAAGCCTTGAAGGTTGTGAAATCTGCCACGGCTGCCCTGAAGGTTGTGAAATCTGCCACGGCTGCCTTGAAGGTTGTGAAATTGCTCACGGCTGCCTTGAAGGTTGTGAAATTGCTCACGGCTGCCTTGAAGGTTGTGAAATTGCTCACGGCTGCCTTGAAGGTTGTGCAATTGCTCACGGCTGCCTTGAAGGTTGTGAAATTGGTCACGGCTGCCTTGAAGGTTGTGAAATTGGTCACGGCTGCCTTGAAGGTTGTGAAATTGCTCACGGCTGCCTTGAAGGTTGTGCAATTGCTCACGGCTGCCTTGAAGGTTGTGAAATTGCTCACGGCTGCCTTGAAGGTTGTGCAATTGCTCACGGCTGCCTTGAAGGTTGTGCAATTGCTCACGGCTGCCTTGAAGGTTGTGAAATTGGTCACGGCTGCCTTGAAGGTTGTGAAATTGGTCACGGCTGCCTTGAAGGTTGTGAAATTGCTCACGGCTGCCTTGAAGGTTGTGCAATTGCTCACGGCTGCCTTGAAGGTTGTGAAATTGCTCACGGCTGCCTTGAAGGTTGTGAAATTGCTCACGGCTGCCTTGAAGGTTGTGCAATTGCTCACGGCTGCCTTGAAGGTTGTGAAATTGGTCACGGCTGCCTTGAAGGTTGTGAAATTGGTCACGGCTGCCTTGAAGGTTGTGAAATTGCTCACGGCTGCCTTGAAGGTTGTGCAATTGCTCACGGCTGCCTTGAAGGTTGTGAAATTGCTCACGGCTGCCTTGAAGGTTGTGAAATTGCTCACGGCTGCCTTGAAGGTTGTGAAATTGCTCACGGCTGCCTTGAAGGTTGTGCAATTGCTCACGGCTGCCTTGAAGGTTGTGAAATTGCTCACGGCTGCCTTGAAGGTTGTGAAATTGCTCACGGCTGCCTTGAAGGTTGTGAAATTGCTCACGGCTGCCTTGAAGGTTGTGCAATTGCTCACGGCTGCCTTGAAGGTTGTGAAATTGCTCACGGCTGCCTTGAAGGTTGTGAAATTGCTCACGGCTGCCTTGAAGGTTGTGAAATTGCTCACGGCTGCCTTGAAGGTTGTGCAATTGCTCACGGCTGCCTTGAAGGTTGTGCAATTGCTCACGGCTGCCTTGAAGGTTGTGAAATTGCTCACGGCTGCCTTGAAGGTTGTGCAATTGCTCACGGCTGCCTTGAAGGTTGTGAAATTGGTCACGGCTGCCTTGAAGGTTGTGAAATTGGTCACGGCTGCCTTGAAGGTTGTGAAATTGCTCACGGCTGCCTTGAAGGTTGTGAAATTGCTCACGGCTGCCTTGAAGGTTGTGCAATTGCTCACGGCTGCCTTGAAGGTTGTGCAATTGCTCACGGCTGCCTTGAAGGTTGCGAAAGTGGTCACGGCTGCCTTGAAGGTTGCGAAATTGCTCACGGCTGCCTTGAAGGTTGCGAAATTGCTCACGGCTGCCTTGAAGGTTGCGAAATTGCTCACGGCTGCCTTGAAGGTTGCGAAATTGCTCACGGCTGCCTTGAAGGTTGCGAAATTGCTCACGGCTGCCTTGAAGGTTGTGAAATTGCTCACGGCTGCCTTGAAGGTTGTGAAATTTGCCACGTCTGACTTGAAGGTTGTGAAATTGGTCACGGCTACCTTGAAGGTTGTGAAATTGGTCACGGCTGCCACTGCAAACTTTCGTATGGATAGAAGACCCCCTTTCTGACTCATCTGCACGTTCTGGTCTGGAATTTGGGATGGCAGTGAACCAGCTGCCCAGTGTATACTGATCTCTCCCCTTGTCTGTGTGTCTAGGAATGGAACAGCCATACAGCCAAGAAACCCACCACAAAGAGTGTTCTTGAATGTCCCAAACTGCAGGCAACTTTTCTGCTCTGGCCCATGGGCATGTCCTGGGAAGCTTGTGGTACAGAAAATCCAGCTTACAGCTTCCATCCGGGTAGAGCTGACCTTCCAAAGAGTGGAAGCTGTCTCAGTTCCTCGCCTGGTTGGGGGCAGATATCTGAAGGCATGGATGCTAGAGAGATTTCTCCTTGGCTAAGGTCCAAGGTTATTTTCTGGGTACTTCCTTGCTCGTGATATTATTTTGTGAGCTCTCTAAATGCTTTGGAGTGTTGAGCTTTACCCTGTTGTGTGTTGTGTATTAAGAAACGCAATTAGATCCCGTCTCTACAAAAGAAGAAAAAGTAGTGAGGTATGGCAGTGTGTGCACCTGTGGTCTCAGCTACTCTGGAGGCTGAGGTGGGAGGATCGCTTGAGGCTAGGAGGTCGAGGTTGCAGTGAGCTATGATTGCACCACTGCACTCCAGCCTGAGTGACAGAGCAAGACCCATCTCTTAAAAAAAAAAATGCAGCTGGGTGCGGCGGCTCATGCCTATAATCCCAGCACTTTGGGAGGCTGATGCGGGTGGATCTCCTCAGCTCAGGAGTTCGAGACATGGTGAAACCCCATCTCTACTAAAATACAAAAATTAGCTGGGTGTGGTGGTGCATGCCTGTAGCCTCAGCTACTTGGGAGGCTGAGGTGGGAGGATCGCTTGAGGCTAGGAGATCGAGGCTGCAGTGAGCTATGATTGCACCACTGCACTCTAGCCTGGGTGACAGAGCAAGATCTTGTCGCAAAACAAAAGCAAAACAAAACAAAAAAAAATGAAAACAAAAACAAAACACATTCATGCTTCCTCCCCCAGGATTGCAAGTGTGTTGTCTGGGAGCCGTTTCCTTTTTCCTCCCTTTTCCTTCACACCTCATTGAAACTGGCAATTGTACTTCCTACTCCCCAGGAATTTTTCCATTTCTACCACTCTCCGTCTCTCCACTACCCCCTGTTGCAAGCTCCTTGGCTGGGACACTCTCAGCGTGGGATACATCAGCCCATCTCCTCCCTGCTCTGTTGCCTTGGGGATGTGCCACCTCCCACCAACCACCTTGCCTCTCCATGCTGCGCACTCTTCACTCAGAAACTCGAGATGATGGCCGGGTGCAGTGGCTCACGCCTGTCATCCCAGCCCTTTGGGAGGCCGAGGCGGGTGGATCACAAGATCAGGAGATCAAGACCATCCTGGCTAACGTGGTGAAACCCCGTCTCTACTAAAAATACAAAAAATTAGCCAGGCGTGGTGGCAGGTGCCTATAGTCCCAGCTACTCGGAAGGCTGAGGCAGGAGAATGGCGTGAACCCAGGAGGCGGAGGTTGCAGTGAGCCAAGATCGTGCCACTGCACTCCAGCCTGGGTGACAGAGCGAGACTCCGTCTCAAAAAAATAAACTCGACATGATGATGGCTGTGTGTTCACCTGAGAGGTCCAGAGCTCCCCAGATAAACCACGTCATGCAAAAAAATGCTTTGAGACAACGACAGGCAAGCCCAGGTGGTACAACAGGACACAGAAACCATCCCAAAACAAACACTCATGATTCTCCTGTATGACACCAGGAGCCAGCTGTTTCTCACATGCCCCAGCCACCTCCCAGTCCCAAACCTTTCTTCCTTGGCCAGCTCCATGTCTTCCATTTGGAATGTCTTCCAGGGGTCAAGTCTGGGGTTCCCTGGGGTCCCCAGTTGGCCTCACACCGTGGATGCCCTGGGTATTGGCTCTGGACGATGACTTTTGAGCAGCTTTTCTGACAGCATCCACCACCTGTGGCTGCCTCCCTGGCAGAGGCGGTAACCATGGAAACGGGGAAGCCAGCCAAGGATCATCTGTGATGGGAGAGTGGGAGGGAAAAGGAGGCAGACAAAGGGGGCAGGCATCGGTTCATGAGTCGAAGGGCGTCGGCACCTGAGTGTGGTAGGCCTTTTACAATTCACACCTCCCCAGCGTGTCTACAGGTATCACGTCCCAGGCCCCCAGGAGGTAAGGAGGAGGGTGAGAGCTCCTCACATCTGTGGCTCCGTGGAAGAGGACGCGTCCTGTGCCTCCACACCACACCCTTGACATTGGCTGTTGTGATGCTCTGGGTATAATCAGTCCCTGCTCCAACTCTTTCCATGGCACTGAAGCCTGGATAACACAGTGTAAGACCTCATCTCTAAAAATAAGAAGGAGGCCAGGCACGGTGGCTTAAGCCTGTCATCCTAGCACTTCGGGAGGCCAAGTCGGGCTGATCACAAGGTCAGGAGATCGAGACCATCCTGCCTAACAAGGTGAAACCCCATCTCTACTAAAATACAAAAAAATTAGCTGGGCGTGGTGGCGTTTGCCTGTAATCCCAGCTATTCAGAAGGCTGAGGCAGGAGAATCGCTTGAACCTAGGAGGCAGAGGTTGCAGTGAGCCAAGATCGCACCACTGCACTCCAGCCTGGGCGACAGAGTGAGACTCTGTCTCAAAAAAAAAAAAAAAAAAAAGAATGAATACACAATAAGTCAACAAATAAATAAATACCTCCAGAGTGACTGCAGCCCAGAGGGCTTCTTTCTGTTTTTTTCTAGCACCATCCTATGTGGGGGTCTCCAAGAGCAATCCTCAGGTGTTGTGATACGGCTGCTAGGAGGTCTCCTGGGATGCTACATATAGTTATACTCACACTATGATTTCTTCTTATTTTTTATTCATTTTATTTTATTGTTTGTTTTAAGACAGAGTCTTGCTCTGTCACCCAGGCTGGAGTGCAGTGGCGCAATCTCTACTCACTGCAACCTCTGCCTCCTGGGTTCAAGTGACCCTCCTGCCTCAGCCTCCCAAGTAGCTGGGATAACAGGCACGCAGTCACTACATCCGGCTAATTTTTGCATTTTTTTAGTAGAGGTGGGGTTTTTCCATGTTGGCCAGGCTGGTCTTAAACTTCTGACCGCAGGTGATCTGCCTGCCTCGGCCTCCCAAAGTGCTGGGATTATAGGTGTGAGCCACCACGCCCAGCCTATTCATTTATTTGTTATTTGTTTATTTTTATTTTTAGAGATGGGGTCTCAGTCTGTGGCCCAGGCTGCAGTGAAGTGGAAGGAGGAAAAGAATGGGACCTATTTCACCTGGAGTGTCGCATCCACCAATATCAATGCTGCTGAAATGAAGGAGATTCTCTCTCTCTTTCTCTCTAGAGGTGGGGTCTCTGTGGCCCAGGCTGTAGTGCAGTGGGGCCATCATGGCTCACTGTAGGCTTGGCCCCCAGCCTGAAGCAATCCTCCCATCTCAGCCTCCCAAATAGGCCTGACTGCAGATGCTTACCACCACACCTGGCTAAATTTTCTATTTTTATTATTTTATTTTATTTTTTGAGATGGATTCTTGCTCTGTCGCCCAGGCTGCAGTGAAGTGGCATGATCTTGGCTCACTGCAACCTCTGCCTACCGGGTTCAAGTGATGCTCCTGCCTCAGCCTCCCAAGTAGCTGAGACTACAGGTGTGCACCACCACGCCCGGCTAATTTTTGTATTTTTAGTAGAGACGGGGTTTCACAATGTAGGCTAGGATGGTCTGGATCTCTTGATCTCATGATCCACCCTCCTTGGCCTCCCAAAGTGCTGGGACTACAGGCGTGAGCCACTGTGCCCAGCCCCCCTCCCCCACCCTTTTTTTTAAAAGTCTTCTGCAGTGGGCTGAAGTATGTCTCTGCAAAGTTTATGTCCACCAGAACCTCAGAAGGGAAACTTATTTGGAAATAAAGTCTTCGTGGACGTCGTTAAGATGAGGTTGCACTGGAATAGAGTGGGCCCTAAATCCAATGACTGGAGCCCTTGTAAGAAAAAAAGAGAACACACAAAGGAGAAGATGGAGACAGAGGTTGGACTGACACATCTATGAACCAAATGTGTTTGTCTGTTTTTATGCTGCTATAAGAAATACCTGAGTACCTGAGACTCAGGTATTTCTTGCTGCTATAAGAAATACCTGAGTACCTGAGACTGAGTAATTTATTAAGGAAAGAGGTTGAATCAACTCACACTTCCACATAGCTGGGAAAGTCTCAGGAAACTTACAGTCATGGCAGAAGTCAAAGGGGAAGCAAGCACTTCTTCACAAGCTGGTAGGAGAGACAGAGAGTGAGGGGGGAATAGCTAAACACTTATAAAATCATGAGATCGGCCGGCACGTGGTGGCCCATGCCTGCAATCCCAGCCCTTTGGGAGGCTGAGGCGGGTGGGTCACCTGAGGTCAGGAGTTCAAGACCAACCTGACTTACATGGAGAAACACTGTCTCTACTAAAAATACAAAATTAGCCAGGCACAGTGGCTCATGCCTGTAATCCCAGCTACTTGGGAGGCTGAGGCAGGAGAATTGCTTGAACCCGGGAGGCGGAGGTTGCAGTGAGCCAAGATCATGCCATTGCACTCCAGCCTGGGCAACAATAGTGAAACTCCATCTCAAAAACAAAAAACAAAAAAAAAAGAAAACAAAATCATATCTCATGAGCATTCACTCACTATCATGAGAACAGCATGGGGGAAACTGCCTCCCTGATCCAGTCACCTCCCACCAGTTCCCTCCTTGTACACCTGGGGATTTGACATGAGATTTGGGTGGGGGCACAGATGCAAACTATATCGCCAGGCATGCTGAATTAACCGCTTCCCATACCCACATGTAAAACTTCAAAGCTGTCAGTAACGCCTCACGCATGATCCTCTTCCATCAATCCCACCTCCAGTTACGGCCAGAGAAGACACAAGACCCCAGTTCAAAAAACTGTCTTTTTTGTGGAGCTCTTCTTTCTACTAAGACTTTAGTTGTGTATATCAATTGTGACTTCAATTACGTATAATGGATCTCTCCCGATTTGGGTGAGATTACAATTCCTGATGAGATTTGGGTGGGGACACAGAGCCAACCATATAATTGATATGAGCAGGGGGGCTGGTGAAAGGTGATTGGATGACGGGGGCAGAGTTCTCGTGAATGGTTTTCATGAATGGTTTCGCACCATTACCCCCTTGGTACTACAGTAACCGAGTTCTCATGAGATCTGGTTGTTTAAAACTGTGTAACACTTTTTCTGTCTTCTCTCTTCCTCCTGCTCTGGCTAGGTAAGACACTTGTTCTCACTTTGCCTTCTGCCATGTTTGTAAGTTTCCTGATGTCTCCTCTGAGCCTCCAGAAGGAACCAAGCCTACTGATACCTTGATCTCAGCTGTTGGCCTCCAGAAGTTCGAGAGAACAGACGTCTGCTGTTTCAAGCCACGCAGTTGTTGGTATTTTTCTACAACAGCATCTGAATCCTAATGCATGCCCTCTAACTGTGGGATCGATTTTGGGGTGCTGAGATGTGGCCTGTTTCTCCTATGACCTTCCTTGTGTTTTTAGTGCTCTTGGAAGAAGAGAGAATTAAGCATAGAATACCCACAGAGAGGAATCTCTCTTTCTTTTTTTTTTTCTTTGAGACAGAGTCTTGCTCTGTCACCAGGCTGGGAGTTCAGTGGCACGATCTCGGCTCACTGCAACATCCGTCTCTCAGATTCAAGCAATTCTCCTGTCTCAGCCTCCCAAGTAGCAGGGACTACAGGCGCATGCCACCACGGCCGGCTGATTTTTTTTTTTTTTTTTTTTTTTTGTATTTTTAGTAGACATGGGGTTTCACCATCTTGTCTAGGATGGTCTCGATCTCCTGACCTTGTGATCTGCCCACCTCAGACTCCCAAAGTGCTGGGATTGAGGAATCTTTCAACCCCTTGCTACCTTTCAAATTGCATAGGAACATTGAAAAGATGATAAAATGTGGAGGCTCAAAGAAAACAAGCAGTGTTCAGCATTCCGAAAGTGGCCTGGTTTGAGGAAATTAATTATTTGGCATCTCTGAACAAGTGGTGTTTTGGACTCCTAAACTTAAAGATAAATACATATTGTTTCCTACCCTTCATTCGTCTTCCTTCTCCTCGCCCGACCCAGAACTCCAAGAAGGCTAATCTCTTCTGCAATATCGTAATGGCCTTGAAGCAATCTAACATCTGTGTTCTTCCTTTCCTCATCTATGAAATTACTTTCAAATAACCAAATTAAACAGGATCTTCCATTTGGGCTGGAATGGTAAGAGCGGCAGAGGACAGCATGTTCCCATTTATAATAGCAGGCACGGAAATTCAACCAGACTTTGCTGATCTAAGAGATGCTCTTGGAAGACCCCATTACTTAAATGATCTAGAAAATGTCCTCCCGAGTCAAGGTATGTCTTAAGGAAGAAAAACGTACAAACAAAACCCAGAAAACTGTTTTAAGAGTCTTATTCTGATGAGACTCTATTTGTATTTGCCAAATAGCTGTGATTTTCTGGAATGCAGGACAAGCTGATAAATTAGGCAGGATGAAGACACTTTTTTTCTCAAGGGCAGGAACACAGATAAGAGCACCTAAGTGTAACACTTTGTTCTGGGACACAGCCCAACTCCAGTCCTTCTGTAGAATATCTGTATTCAGTCAGAGGATATCAAAGATGGATAGAGCCTTGGGAATTATCTAGCACAACCTTATCCATTTTACAGCTGGGGAAACCAGAGCTGGGAGGGCAACTTCCAAATTGGTAGTGATCCATCGTACACAATTGAAGTCATCATTGGTAGACACAACTGAGGTCCTAGTAGAAAGAACAGCCTCACAAGACAGTGATTTGAACTGGGGTCTTGTGCCTTCTTTGGCCATGACTGGAGGTGGGATTGGTGGAAGTGGGTGATGGGTGAGGCTTTACTGACCAATTTGAAATTTTGCATGTGTGTACGGAAAGGAGTTGACTCAACAGGCCTGGCGATATGGTTTGCATCTGTGTTCCCACCCAAATCTCATGTCAAATTGTAATCTCTAGTGTTGGAGGTAGAGGAGCTGGTGGGAGGTGATGGGATAAAGGGGGCAGAGTTCTCATGAATGGTGTAACGCCATCCCCCTTGCTACTGTATAGTGAGTGAATTCTCATGAGATTGGGTTGTTTAAAACTGTATGGCATCTTCTCTCTCTCCTCTCTTCCTCCTGTTCTGGCCATGTAAGACACCTGCTCCTGGCTGGGCATGGTGGCTGAAGCCTGTAATCCCAGCACTTTAGGAGGCTGAGGCAGGTGGATCGCAAGGTCAGGAGTTCAAGACCCACCTGGCCAACATGGTGAAACCCTGTATCTACTAAAAATACAAAAACTAGCTGGGCATGGTGGCAGGCACTTGTAATCCCAGCTACTTGGGAGGCTGAGGCAGGAGGATCACTTGAACCTGGGAGGCAGAGGTTGCAGTGAGCCGAGATCTCGCCACTGCATTCCAGCCTGGGCAACAGAGTGAGACTCCATCTCAAAAAAAAAAAAGACAAAAAAAAGAGATACATTTTCAACTTTCACCCCCCCACACCCCAACACTCTCCCCTTTGGACTCCCCAGTGTCTGTGAACTCCATCTCTTATGTTTATGGGTACCTATTATTTAGCTCCTACTTATAAGTAAGAACATACAGTATTTGATTTTCTTTTTCTGAGTTATTTATCTTAGGATAATGGCCTCCAGCTTCATCCACATCTCTTTGGAAGACATGATTTCATTCTTTTTAAGCCTGTGTAATATTCCATGGTGTATAAATACCACAGTTTTTTTTTTTAATCTAATTCTCCAATGGCAGATACCTAGACTGATTCCGTATCTTTGTTGCTGTGAATATACTGTGATAAACATATGACTATGGGTGTATTTTTGATGGGATGATTTCTTTCTTTCTTTTTCTTTCTTTCTTTCTTTCTTTCTTTCTTTCTTTCTTTCTTTCTTTCCTTTCTTTCCTTTCTTTCTTTCCTTTCTTTCTTTCCTTTCTTTCTTTCCTTTCTTTCCTTTCTTTCTTTCTTTCTTTCTTTCTTTCTTTCTTTCTTTCTTTCTTTCTTTCCTTTCTTTCTTTCTTTCTTTCTTTCTTTCTTTCTTTCTTTCTTTCTTTCTTTTCTTTTCTTTTCTTTCTTTCTTTCTTCTTTCGAGACAGAGTCTCATTCTGTCACCCAGGTGGAGTCCAGTGGTGTGATCTCGGCTCACTGCAATGTCCACCTCCTGGGTTCAAGCAATTCTCCTGCCTCAGCCTCCCAAGTAGCTGGGATTACGGGCACCTGCCACCACACTCAGTTAATTTTGTATTTTTAGTAGAGATGTGGTTTCACCATGTTGGCCAGGCTGGTCTCAAACTGCTAACCTCAGGTGATACATTGAAAGGATGATTTCTTACCCTTTGGGTTTATGCCCAGGAGTGGGATTCCTCGATCAAATCATAGTTTTATTTTTAGTCTTTTGAGAAATCTTCATACTGTTTTCCATTCAAGCTTTATTTACAGCCGTGGTTCCCAACCCTTTTGGTACCAGGGACCAGTTTTGTGGAAGATGATTTTTTCCATGGATGATGACCTGGAGATGGTTTTGGGATGATTTGAGTACATGACATTGATTGTGTTCTTCATTTCTATTATTATTATTACATTGTAATACAGAATGAAATAATTCTACAACTCACCATTGCATAGAATCAGTGGGAGCCCTGAGCTTGTTTTCCTGCAACTAGATGGTCCCATCCAGGCGTGATGGGAGACAGTAACAGATCATCACACATTAGATTTTCATAAGGAGCACGTAACCTAGATCCCTCACATGTGCGGTTCGCAATAGGGTTCACACTGCTATGAGACTCTAACGCCACTGCTGATCTGACAAGAGGTGGAGCTCAGGTGGTAACACAAGTGATGGGGAGCAGCCGTTAACACAGACGAAGAAGCCAGGTATGGTGGCTCATGCCCGTAATCCCAGCACTTTGTGAGGCCAAGGTGGGCGGATCACCTGAGGTCAGGAGTTCAAGACCAGCCTGGCCAACATGGTGAAACACTGTCTCTACTAAAAATACAAAAATTAGCTTGATGTGGGGTGTGACTACCTGTAATTCCAGCTACTCAGGAGGCTGAGGCAGGAGAATCGCTTGAACCCAGGCGGCGGAGGTTGCAGTGAGCTGAGATTGCACCACTGGACTCCAGCCTGGGTGACAGAATGAGACTCCATCTCAAAAAATAAAAAATAAAAAAATACAGATGAAGCTTTGCTACTCACCTGCTGCCCACCTCCTGCTCTGTGGCCCGGTTCCTAACAGGCTATGGACCAGTGGTGGTCTGTGCCCTGGGGATTCAGGACCCCTGAGTTACAGCACCAATTTACAATATCCCTTTTTCTGGGGTCAGACGTTGAATGCATACCTAGCTTAGCTCCGTACCTGGTGCTATGCCCCGAATGCTTATTGATCTTGTTTTCTGGGTATTGTGGATGAGTGAAGATCCATGCACTGATGTTGGGTTGTTTCATTGTGGTCACTTCTCATAGCCCCCATCACACTGCAGCCTTCTCTGTGTCTCTGCATCCACATAGTTGGAGCTAGCCATCTCACTCAGGGCTTTCTTGGAAGCATAGGGAGTTGCTCCATGCTGCAGAACGGATTCCATCTGTGCAGTGAGAGAACAGGAATTGATAGATAAATGTTCCAGCCTTTCCATCCTTCAGAGGGTCCTCAGCAGGATACAGACCCCCTTGCCCATGGCAGTAACAAGTGCCATAGCAACCCCAGCTGTTGGATCTTCCCCATATGGCAGCACTCCTCTCACCATCTCTTATTTTTGCTTTATGCAATCACCTTTTTTTTTTTTTTTTTTTTTTTTTTTGAGACGGAGTCTCGCTCTGTCCCCTAGGCTGGAGTGCAGTGGAGCGATCTCGGCTCACTGCAAACTCCACCTCCCGGGTTCGCGCCATTCTCCTGCCTCAGCCTCCCAAGTCGCTGGCACTGCGGGCACACACCACAACACCTGGCTAAGTTTTTTTGTTGTTGTTTTTGTTGTATTTTTAGTAGAGATGGATTTCAACATGTTAGCCAGGATAGTCTCGATCTCCTGACCTCATGATCTGCCCGCCTCGGCCTCCCAAAATGCTGGGATTACAGGCATGAGCCACCATGCCAGGCTGCAATCACCTTTTAAATAATCTATCAGTATCCAGATACTGCTTTTCTTTTCTCTTTTCTTTTTTTTGAGATGGAGTTTTGCTCTTGTTGCCTAGGCTAGAGTGCGATGGCGTGATCTTGGCTCACTGCAACCTCCGCCTCCCGGGTTTAAGCGATTCTTCTGCCTCAACCTCCTGAGCAGCTGGGATTACAGGTGCCCGCCACCAGGCCCGCCTAATTTTTTTGTATTTTTAGTAGAGACTGGGTTTCACTGTGTTAGCCAGGATGGTCTTGATCTCGTGACCTCGTGATCTGCCCACCTCGGCCTCTCAAAGTGCTGGGATTACAGGCATGAGCCATTGTGCCCTGCTGCAATCACGTTTTAAATAGTCTATCAGTACCCAGATACTGCTTTTCTTTTCTTTTTCTTTTTTTTTTTTGAGATGATGGAGTTTCACTCTTGTTGCCCACGCTGGAGTGCAATGGTGTGATCTTGGCTCACTGCAACCTCTGCCTCACGGGTTTAAGCGCTTCTCCTGCCTCAACCTCCTGAGTAGCTGGGATTACAGGCGCCTGCCACCACTCCCGCCTAATTTTTTTTTTTTTTTTTTTGTATTTTTAGTAGAGACGGGGTTTCACCATGTTGGCCCAGCCGGTCTCAAACTCCTGACCTCAGGTGATCTGCCTGCCTCCGCCTCCCAAAGTGCTGGAATTACAGGTGTGAGCCACTGCACCCAGCCAGATGTTGGTTTTCATCTCTACTTTTGAGGAATGCTGATCTAGTACATGTAGGGAAGACTCATGTATTGTCACAACAACCATGAAAGCAAAGGACAGAATCTGGGTGTCAGGGAGTGACATGGGTAGAATTGTGTGCCCTACAACATTAGGTTCAAGTTCTGACGCCAGGTACCTGTTAACGTGACCTTCTTTGGAAATCAGGTCTCTGCAAATGTAATGAGTCCAGACACCAAGGGAAACGGAGAAGATAAGAAGCAGAGATTGAGGTAATGCGTCCACCAGCCAAGGAGCACCAAGACGTGCTGGCGACCACCAGATGCTAGCGGGGAGACCTGGAACAGATTCTCCCTCAAAGCCTCCAGAAGTAAACCAACTCTGTAGACACCTTCATTTCAGACTTCTGGTCTCCAGAGCTGTGAGAGAATCCATTTCTGTTCATTGCAGCCACTTTTTTCTTTTCTTCCTTCTTTCTTTTCTTTTTTCTTTCTTTCTTTCTTCCTTCCTTCCTTCCTTTCTCTCTCTTTCTCTCTTTCTTCTTTTCCTTCCTTTGCTTCCTTTCCTTCCTTTCCTTGTTTCTTCTCTCTTTCTGAGATGGAGTTTTGCTCTGTCACCCAGGCTGGAGTGCAGTGGCGCAATCTCGGTTCACTGTGACCTCTGCCTCCTGGGTTCAAGTGATTCTCCTGCCTCAGCTTCCTGAGTAGCTGGGATTACAGGCACAAGCCACCATGCCCGGATAATTTTTTATATTTTTGGTATAGACGAGGTTTCACCATGTTGGCCAATCTTGTTTCAAACTCTTGACCTCAAGTCATCCAGCCACCTTGGCCTCCCAAATTCTGAGATAACAGGTGTGAGCCACTGTGTCTTGCCTGAGCCATTTCTTCAGCAGTGATTTTTTTTTTTCATGGCTGCCCTAGCTAAGGAATACCATTACAATGAAAGCTGAGCTGCTTAAGCTACAATTTTTTTTATTACTTATTTATTTACTTTTGTTTCAGTCATTTTTGGAGAACAGGTGGTTTTAGGTTACATGGATAATTTCTTTAGCAGTGATTTTTGAGATTTTCATGCACCCATCACTCAAGGAATGTACACTGTACTCAATGTGTAGTCTTTTATCCCTCACTCCCCTCCTACCCTTTCCCCCGAGTCCTCAAAGTCCATTGTATAATTCTTATGCCTTTGCATCCTCGTAGCTTAGCTCGCACTTATGACTGAGAACGTTTGATATTTAGTTTTCTTATACCCAAGTTACTTCACTTGGAATAATGGCCTCCACTTCCATCCATGTTACTGCAAAATACATTATTTTGCTCCATTTTATGGGTGAGTAGTATTCCGTGGTGTATATACACCACACTTTCTTTATCCACTCCTTGGTTGATGGGGATTTAGGCTGGTGTCATATTTTTGCAATCGCGAATTGTGCTGCTATCAGTTACCACTAAAGAACTCATCCATGTAACCTAAAACCACCTGTCCTCCAAAAACTACTGAAACAAAAGTCAGTCAATCAATAAATAATAATAAAAGGCAAGTGCCTTTTTTCATATAATGACTTCTTTTCCACTGTGTAGATACTCAGTTCTGAGATTGCTGGATGAAATTGTTGATCTACTTTTAGTTCTTCAAGGAACCTCCATACCTGGATCAAATGGTAGTTCTATTATTAGTTCTTCAAGGAGTCTCCATACCTGGATCAAATGGTAGTTCTAGTATTAGTTCTTTAAGGAGTCTCCATACCTGAATCCAATGGTAGTTCTACTATTAGTTCTTTAAGGAGTCTCCATACCTGGATCAAATGGTAGTTCTATTATTAGTTCTTTCAGGAATCTCCATACCTGGATCAAATGGTAGTTCTAGTTTTAGTTCTTCAAGGAGTCTCCATACCTGGATCAAATGGTGGTTCTATTATTAATTCTTCAAGGAATCTCCATACCTGGATCAAATGGTGGTTCTATTATTAGTTCTTTAAGGAGTCTCCATACCGGGAACAAATGGTAGTTCTAGTATTAGTTCTTTAAGGAATCTCCGCAGTGGTTTCCATAGTGGTTAAACTAGTTTACATTCCCACCAGCAGTGTAAAAGTGTTCCCTTTTCACCACATCCACACCAACATCTGTTATTCTTTGATTTTTGAATTATGGCCATTCTTGCAGGAGTAAGATGGTATCTCACTGTGGTTTTAATTTTCATTTCCCTGATCATTAGTGATGTTGAGCATTTTTTCATATGCTCATTGGACATTCATATATCTACTTTTGAGAATTGTCTATTCATGCCCTTTGCCTATGTTTTGATGGGATTGTTTGTTTTTTTTTCCTGCTGATTTGTTTGAGTTCCTTGTAGATTCTGGATGTTAGTCCTTCGTCGGATTCATAGTTGGGCAAATTTTTCTCCCATTCTGTGAGTTGTGTGTTTACTCTGTTGATTCTTTGTTTTGCTGTACAGAATAAGCTACAATTTTAAGGAAGAGGATTTGTGGCAACTTACGTAGCTCAGTAAAGAGAGTGAGTAGGACCTCAAAGCATTCTTTAAAGGAGAGAGAGGACATGATCCAACTTAGACAAAGAGAATGTTCTGGCCACAGAGGCAATTTGGCCAGAAACTAGATAACAGGATGTCAAACTAGATAACAAGGAAGTCTACCTTAATTCAATGGCACAAGAGCTTGAAATCATCAAAGAGTCTTTCTGAATACTACGCTAAAGCAATTGCTTTTAATGAATATATTCAGACTTGCCAAGGCTGAGACCTCAAATACTATCTTGAGGTCTTTAACAGCTATCTGATGCTGTCAATGATTTTGTATATAAAAAGACCTTGGAACAGGAGGTTGCCATTTAGTGAACAGGGTTGGCAGTATACCTTCCCGCCTGCTTTGCATAGTGACTCATTGTCTACTCAACGAGGATTCTTAATAATCATGTCATTGGTGACACATAGGCAGTCAGTGGATTTTTTTTTTTAATGACAAGTGGAAAAATGTTAAAAGCCAGCTTTGATTAAAATGTGAGTTAAGCTGGAAAGCTCAGTGAAATCCATCCATGGCTGTATATTAAGAACTGTAACCTGCCACTGTGTGTAACACCCGTTATATAAACTCATGTAAAGATTTCAGTCACGCCGCCGGACGTGGAGACTCATGCCTGTAATCCCAGCACGTTGGGAGGCTGAAGCGGGTCGATCACCTGAGGTCAGGAGTTTGAGAACAGCCTGACTAACATGGTGAAACTCTGTCTCTAACAAATACAAAAAATCAGCTGGGTGTGGTGGCTTATGCCTGTCATCCCAGCTACTTGGGAGGCTGAGGCAGGAGAATCGCTTGAATCCGGGAGGCGGAGGTTGCAGTGAGCTGAGATTCTGCCATGGCACTCCAGCCTGGGCAACAAGAGCAAAACTCCTTCTCAAAAAAACAAAAAATGAATTTCAGCCACGCAATACATTTGGGTAACTACCAAGTATGTCTCCGCTGGCAATCCTTGAGAATCAATAGAAGTTATTCCAAAATATAAGCTGGTATAGTGATAAACCTGGTGAAAAGCACCGTGTTTTATAATGCAATGTCTAAGCCCACAGTGGCGCCTGTGTCATGGATGGAAACAATTTCCAAGTATGGCAGTGTGGGCTGCAGCTGTTCCACAGAAGATCGTAAAGTATATGGAATGGTAAATGCATGGCACGTTTTGTAAAATAATTAAATGAAGCCCAATGCTGCCATCCCTCAGGTCATATTTACATAGATGATTGAGCTGTCTGATTCACTGAGGGTTCTCTCTGTGTGTCTCTTTGGTGAAGCAATTTATTCTGCTTTTACAGATTAGAGTAGATATTTTCTAAGTGACGAAATACAATTCTTCCAGTGGCACAATATAAAATCGTATTAAAGAGCATTAAAGCATATAAGCTAACAGCATGCATACTTATCTACAAACTGGTTTCTAAAAATGGAGAAGCATTTTTTGCTTTCAGATGGAGATTGTGTACTCAGATCTCGAATTCTGTTTCCTTAAAAAATGGTTTAATGAACCCTAATGCATCTACCACTCAGGTTTTAACGATTACAAACAGTTATCAATGTGTTTTATTTTTCCATTTTAATTTTTTTGGCCACGGTATTTGAAAGAAAATCTTAGACATCATTATCATTCTGCCTTTCAATTCTACAGAACTTTTTTTTTTTTTTCCTCATCAGGCCTTTTTGTTCTTCGACAGAGTCTCACTCTGTCGTCCAGGCTGGAGTGCAGTGGCGTGATCTCGGCTCACTGCAACCTCTGCCTCCTGGGTTCAAGCAATTCTCCTGCCTCAGCCTCCCAAGTATCTGGGATTACAGGTGCCCGCAACTATGCCCGGCTGACTTTTTTGTATTTTTAGTAGACACTGAGTTTCACCATGTTGGCCAGGCTGGTCTCAAACTCTCGACCTTGTGATTCACCCGCCTTGGCCTCCCAAAGTGCAGGGATTACAGGTGTCAGCCACTGCGCCCGGCCCAACAATACTTTTATCTACTCATCAGTATGTGTTCAAATTTCCCTCAGTCTTAGAAATGACTTTCTGTGGTTGGTTTCTTTAAATAAAAATGGAAAGAAACTCCACACACTTTAGATGGCTGATTTGTCTCATAAAAGTTTTTTGATTTGTAATAATTCACCATCTTCCCTTTATTTTGTCCTGATTATATAGTCCATATCCCTTGTGACTTTCACCATAGAAGGACTTTATCCCTGTCTTCAAAAGCCATAAAAATAGTCCCCGTTGCTAACTAACAACATTGATGCTTTTGTGACCTAGGAAAGCTTCTAAGTGTAGCTTTGATCTCCTTTGTTGAGACAGAAATGGGCTGAACAGGGACCACCCCTGAGCCAAATTCTCCAGCAAGTCACTCCTGGGCCCCTTCTCTTTCTTTTCTTTTCTTTCTTTTTTTTTTTTTTTTGACGGAGTTTTGCTCTGTTGTCCAGGCTGGAGTACAGCGGTGCAATCTCAGCTCACTGCAATGTCTGCCTCCTGGGTTGAAGCAATTCTCCTGCCTCAGCCTCCCGAGTAGCTGGGATTACAGGTGTGCACCATCATGCCCGGCTAATTTTTGTATTTTTAGTAGGGACGGGATTTCACCATGTTGGCCAGGCTGGAAGGAAGGAGAAAGAGAGAGAGAAAGAAAGAGAAAGAGAGAGAGAAAGAGAGAAAGAGACAAAGAAAAAGAAAAAAAGAGAAAGAGAAAGGAAGAAAGAGAAAGAAAGATGAAAGAAAGAGAGAAAGAAACGAGGGAGGGAGGGAGGAAGGAAGGAAAAAGCAAAGCAAAGTTGAGTGACTACAGTTTCTGTACATTGGACCAATTTGGCACATTTCTTTATATAGGACAATCCATGTCCATTTACCTGTGTTCTGTGAGACAGATGAAGCCTGGACTTCTGCTATCCTGCCCTTGCTGGGAATGAGCAGGGTTGTACCTGCACTCATCATGGAATAAGCACTAAAGAAACAAAGCTACAACAGAAGATGTCCTCTACTGCAGGGCACCTTACATTCCAATCCTCCAATATGGCAGCGAGTCAAAATCTCAAAAGACCTGAGTGCCTTCTGCGTAAGTCCCCGTAGGCTTCTAGTATTCATTTTACAAGTATACTGATGCTCTCAGTTGATGCTGAGGGGGTGGCTGTTCATGAAGATGATGGAATTGGCTTCGGCAGAGGTCTCTCTTTGACCATCTAGAGGCACTGTTGCTTATCTATCAGGAAACGGAGGGAGGCACTGGGAATTTGAACTCGAGCTCTGGAGTTCTTCCATGCAGCTGTGTTTACGTATCATCAAGCACCGATTCATTGCCCGTTGGGACAGAGGAGAATCAGGCCTGGTCTGGCATCATTGCCGGGTGGGTGTGAAATGCCACTTCTACCGAGACCAACTGGAAATGAAAGATCGTCAACAGTCAAAAAGGTCACTGCATAAATGCCTGTGAAGTCCAAGTAACTGTCAGAGACAGAATACGCTTTGCAGCGGAGAGTTTTCCAGGAAAGAAAAATGGTCTCTGTGAATGTTCTTTGGGAGGCCACGGATGGCTTGTTCTGAAGTGAATGGAATTGCTTTGCAGAAGACGCATAGCCAGGCTGAGTTCAGGAGGTATCTCTTTTTTTTTTTTTTTTTTTTTTTGAGACGGAGTCTCGCTCTGTTGCCCAGGCTGGAGTGCAGTGGCACAATCTCAGCTCACTGCAACCTCTGCTTCCCGGGTTCAAGCAATTCTCCTGTCTCCACCTCCCGAGTAGCTGGCATTACAGGCACTGCCACCAAGCCTGGCTAATTTTTGTATTTTTAGTAGAGATGGAGTTTCACGATGTTGGCCAGGCTAGTCTCGAACTCCTGACCTCAAGTGATCCACCCACCTCAGCCTCTCAAAGTGCTGGGATAACAGACGTGAGCCACTGCACCCGGCCCAGGAGGTGTCTTAATCCATTTGCTGTTGCTACAACAGAGTAACACCGTCTGGGTAATTCACAGAAGAAGTTTATTTTGTAAAGTCCTGGAGGCTGGCAAGTCCAAAAGGCATGGTGCCTGCATCTGATGAGAGCCTCTTGCTATAGTACAACATAGTGGAGGACTTATAATGCCACCAGCTCTGTCCATGTGGGCCTCGCTTTGATGATCTTACCTAATTCTAATTGTCTCCTAAGGGTGCCACTCCAAATACTACAACATACTAATTTGAGAGAGAAGTTTCCAACACATGAAGCTTGGGAGACACAAACCATACAGGGTGGAGTCAAGACGGCTTGTTTAATTCGGCCAACTTGAGCAAAGAGGCATAATGGTTATTGCCTCTCTGGGTTCACTAAACACATAAACATGCCCACACTAATAATTCATGTCGACCGCAGTACTCTCTGCTTTTCCTGAATAGCATATTGTGTTGAACAGGTTATACGACCTTGGGTAGAGACTTAGCTCTCTTTAAGCCTCCATTTCTCATCTGTAAAATGAGAATGAAAGATGGTTTCTCCGTATTTATGGAAGGGTTCCAACAAGGTAAAGTGTGTAGCGTACTTTGTCAATTCTAAAGCACTCTTCTGATATAAATTATAGCATCCCCGGATTCATTGTTTGAGTTGGTTTCTTTTTTAAAATTAATTTCTGTTGTATGTATTTAAGGTGTGCAACATGATTTTTTGATATAGTGACATAGTGAAATGATTATAATTGTTAAGAAAATGAACACAGCTATCATCTCACATATTTACCTTTTTTGCGACAAGAGCACCTTAAATCTACTCTCTTAACAAAAATCCTAAATATGAAATGTATTATAGTCCTTATATTTTGCATTTGATTTCTAGACTTATTCTACATCATCTATAACAACCACCATTTTTTCTATTTCTATATATTTTCTTTCTTCCTTCCTTCCTTCTTTCCTTTCTTCCTTTTTTCTGATAAGGAGTCTCGCTCTTTCGCCCAGGCTGGAGTGCAGTGGCGTGATCTTGGCTCACTGCAAGCTCCGCCTCCCGGGTTCACGCCATTCTCCTGCCTCAGCCTCCTGAGTAGCTGGGACTGCAGGCACCCACCACCATGCCCAGCTAATTTTTTGTATTTTGTATTTGCCTTCCTTTCTTTTTCATTTCCTTCTTTCTGCCTTCTTTTCATTCTTTTATTTTTGTAGATTCTTTATATAAGTGAGATCCAATACTTTTAACTGAATGTGAACATTTCTTTTACAAAATAAAATGTATGTTCAGGCTTTTACTTAATCCATGCTAGTAAGAGCCTGGTTCAAAAATGAGCTGCAGGTTTTTTCAAAGAGAATCACAATCATTTCTGTGGAATAGGTGAAGTGAAAGACATTTTTAGAAAGTTTGCATCTTTTTGCAGAGACTTTTAATGAAGGGGTTTATGTTTTCCGCTCTGTTCGTTTACTGAAAGCAAAAGAAGAAAAGTGAGGAAGGGATTATACAAAGAAAGTGACTGAAAAATTCTGAAAATATCTGTTTTCATAAGATAAGAGCTTTATTCTAGTTCTGAACATATAATCATAGTCATCATTGTCCTTATTTAAATAAAAACAGCTAGCTGGGCAACTTAGTCTCATTGAAATTCCTGAGATCTTCATTCTTTCTTGGTATTTGGCTGAAAAAAGAATAAGTTTATCTCATTCTTTTCCCAAAGTATAGCACAAGGTTGAGAGCCTGGACTCGTGGCATGCATACCTAATGAGACCGTTGTATTACTTGGGGTGAAACTCCTTCCATTTGACTTGATGTAGTTATTTTCTTTTTCTTGCAAGGGAAGCAAACTTTGGGTTCTACCTGGGTCTTCCTTAAGCATCAGGTGTGTTTCAAATGGATAGATTTAATAATAATTGATCCACTAATAATTGATCCACTGGGCAATGATTTTTTAAATGTTTGTTTTCAAATTTAAAACAATGCCTCAAGTTTAGAAATGCCTCTCCTCGGCCGGGCGCGGTGGCTCATGCCTGTAATCCCAGCACTTTGGGAGGCCGAGGCGGGTAGATCACCTGAGGTCAGGAGTTTGAGAACAGCCTGGCCAACATGGTGAATCCCCATCTCTACTAAATATAAAAAATTAGCTGGGTGTGGTGGCACATGCCTGTAGTCCCAGCTACTGGGGAGGCTGAGGCAGGAGAATCACTTGAACCTGAGATGTGGAGGTTGCAGTGAGCTGAGATTGTGCCATTGCACTCCAGCCTGGGTGACAAAACGGAAAACTCCATCTCAAAAAAAAAAATGCCTCTCCTCTTCTAATTACCTCCCATCCCTCTCCCACTTCAAAGATCCTCATTCTGATTTTTCAAGGCTGAGTTCTGGGTTGGCAGGACAGTCTTGAATGAGGATCTGAATGTAGGAGTATTCCTGCAATTAGTCTTCGTTGCCACTAGGAGGTGGTGTGTAGCGGGGTGTCCTTTTGAGTTGACTTGCCAAGAAGACCAGGTGTAGGGTTAAGCATGATTTTCCAAATGGAAGCTTCAGGAAAGCTTCAAAAGATACCTTATGCACTGTAATGCACAGCATTTGATATTAAAACAATACATAGCATCTTAAACAATACATAGCAAGTGAAGTTTCTCTCAGGCTTCCCTCACAAAGAGCAAGCCTTGCTTATGGTGTCCTTGTTCTGTCCTATACCTTATCTCAGGCACTGTGAGCTGGGAATTAAAATTTTCTTTCCTTTTTTTTTTTGAGACAGAGTCTCGCTCTGCTGCCCAGGGTGGAGTGCAATGATGCAAACTTGGCTCACTGCAACCTTTGCCTCCTGGGTTCAAGCAATCATCCTGCCTCAGCCTCCTAAGTAGCTGGGATTACAGGCGCCCGTCACCACACCATGCTCATTTTGTATTTTAGTAGAGATGTTGGTTTCACCATGTTGGTCTGGCTGGTCTCAAACTCCTGATCTCAGGTGATCCACCTACCTCCACCTCCCAAAGTGCTGGGATTACAGGTGTGAGCCACCACACCCAGCTATCTTTACATTTTAATTATGGCAAAATACATATAACATAACATTTACTACTAGTGACATTCAGAACATTCCCCATGCTGTATAGCCATTACCTCCATCTCCTTCCAGAACATTCAACATTCCCCATGCTGTATAGCCATTACCTCCATCTCCTTCCAGAACATTCTAATCACCCTAAATGGAGACCTTGTACCTATTAAGCCCTCACTCCTCCTTTTCCCAACCCATGCAAACCCCTAATCTACTTTCTATCTCTAGGGATTCATTCCTTCTAGACATTTCACATAAATGGAATAACCCAAGGTGTGGCTTATTTATATCTGGCTTCATTTACTGAACATAATGTTCTCAAAGTACACTCACATAGCAGCGTGTGTCAGGATTTCATTGTGTTTGATGGCTGTTTCATATTCCACCATATGGATAGACGCCATTTTGTTTCTCCATTCACCTATGGGTGAACATTTGGGTTGTATTTACCCGTTGGTGATTGGGAAGAATGCTGCTATGAATAATTGGATACGTATTTTTGTTTGAACATTTGTGCTATGCTCTGAAGGTTTCTGTGTCCCCAAAGTTCATATGAGGAAAGCTAATACTCAAGGTGATAGTATTAAGAGGTGGAACCCTTGGAAAGTGATGAGGTCAAGAGAATGGAAGCTCCATGGATGGGATGAGTGCTCTTATCAAAAGAACCCCAGAGAGCTCCTTTTTTTCCTTCTACCATGCAAGGACACAGCAAGAAGGTGCCATCTACGAACCAGGAACTGGGTTCTTACCAGACACTGAATCTTCTATGTCTTGATTTTGGACATCCAACTTCCAGAACTGTGAGCAATAAACATCTGGTGTTCAAAAGCCACCCAGTCTAAAGTATTTTGTTACAGCAACATACAAAAAGACAGTGGCCCCCAAAATCTCCTCTCATCACAAGGAGCCCCCTTCACTTCACCCACAAAGGAGGCAAGATTTGAGGTCATCAGGCTCCCAACCAAGGGACTGGGTGTTCTGATCTATGTTTTAACTTTTCAATCAAGTACATCACTTCCAGCTGGGACTCTGGGTCTAGCACAGGGAGAAATAAAGTGTGAACCATCATTACAAGCTCAGGGAGGGAGGGAGAAAGTGCAAATCGAAGAGCTGGAAAATCATCGAGCCAGCCCAACTGTTGGGAGATTGGGGATTCTTTGTGCACGGAGCAGAAACAATCTCCTGCACGGGGTGGCGGCTTGGGCCAGGACTTCTCGGCATTGAGGAGTTACAGAGCTGTTTTGTAGCTAAACCGACTTTCATTCCAAGCACTTCTACAGAGAACGAAATCAAACAGCGGTGATGATGGGATCCCCAGGCCCGGCCAGTGATCTGCTTAATTACTGACCAGGGAAGCTTCAGTAGCTTAATTGGATTGATGGGCACAGTGCCTAGTCCTCCACCCACTGGTCCCAGAGATTTTTATGGATAGCATGCTGATCTTCCATGCCCTGAGGCTTGGGGTCCTGTGTCCAGCATTCCCCACCAACTGGGCAGATGCTGCTGGATTTATGTCAACAGCGAGTTCTGCAGGCACACCTCTAAAACACAGTCTCATAGTGTCTTCTGTTTTCAGGAACAAATACAAATTTTCTTCTCACATAAGTTATATCATGAACATGAGCATTTAACAAGGGACGGTGTGTGTGTGCGAGCACGTACATGTTGTATGTTGTGTGTTTTGTGTGTGTATGAGAGAGACACCACAGACACACTAGCCCCATGAAAGGCCAGGGCAGTGAGGCCTGGACCATGGTCTGCTAAGGACCTGGTGTGGCACACTGATGGTTATCACAAGTGGCCTGGGAGGTGTTCTGTTGGCCCCAGGGGTTCACTGACCATCATCACAGGTGGCCTGTGATGTGTTGACTTGGTGGGGCCCACTGACCACCATTGCTGGTGGCCTTAGAGGTGATCTGTTGACCCCAGGGGCTCACTGGTGACCACTGCCGGTAGCCTGGGAGGTGGTCTGTTGACCTTGGGGACTCATTGATGACCATTACAGGTGGCCTGGGAGATGGTCTGTTGACCCTGGGGAGTCACTGATGACCATTTCAAGTGGTCTGTTGACCTTGGGGGCTCACTGACGGCCATTGCAGGTTGTCTGGGAGGTGGTGTGTTGACCTTGTGGGCTCACTGATGGCCATTGCTGGTGGCCTTGGCGATGATGGTCTGTTGACCCCAGGGGCTCACTGGTGACCACTGCAGGTGGGCTGGGAAGTGGTCTGTTGACCTGGGGACTCACTGACCACCATTGCTGGTGGCCTTGGAGATGGTTTGTTGACCTTGGGGACTCACCACCATTGCAGGTGACTTGGAGATGGTTTGTTGACCTTGGGGACTCACTGACCACCACTGCAGGTGACTTGGGAGATGGTTTGTTGACCCTGGGGACTCACTGGTGACCATTACAGGTGGGCTGGGAAGTGGTCTCTTGACCTGGGGACTCACTGACCACCACTGTTGGTGGCCTTGGAGATGGTTTGTTGACCCCAGGGGCTCACTGATGACCATTGCAGGTGGCCTGGGGGATGGCCTATTGACTGGGCACATCCTACTGATTCACTGCAGAAGACGGGCAATTTGCTGAGCACCTAGAAGGGCCTATCAGTGCCAGGGTTAGTGGGTCCAACCTCAAGGTCCTGCACCTAGAGGACCTAACACAGACAATGTTCTGCTGGCTGCTGAACACTTGGACCTAACCCTGACCATCTTCTGCACATTGCCCAGGACTAGTTGGCCCCACTTCTTCTCTTCTCAGAGCCCACGATAGGCCCTGTGGTCACTCCCTCTGCAGAGGTGGAACTGAAATTCCCTCAGGTCACATTCCTGGTTATGCAGGAAGCTGAGAATGAGACAGGAATTCCAAACCCAGGTCAGTGGCCTAAATATGGTCCTGTGGGTCTGACCACAGGCAGTTACAAGGCTGGAACCCAGGGGAAAGCTGCCTTCCCACATCGCGCTGGGTGCACACCTGGAGCATTACACAGCTTGGGGGGATGAAGGGTAAGACCTCAGGCCCCTGGGCAGCCATGCTCTTATGAGTATGTATATCCTGGAGCAGGTCCTGCCACTTCAGGCCTCCTTACTAGTGGTGGAAGAGGCAGGTGCCTGAGCCCCTCTTCCCCATTCTGACTTGTACCTTTTGACTCCTAGCCCTTTCCACTCTCCCTCCCCAGACCTCCTAGTTCAGGACATGCCTGAACACCTCCGGTAACCTTCCCATGTGTAGTTTCCAGTATACCAAGAGGAGCTTGTGCGGTGGTTGAGCTTTAAGCAGCAGAAAGTTTCTCAGCAATTTGCCTCGTATATATTGGTATTGGTGTGCTCCAGGGAGACAGAACCAATTGTATCATTTCACGATAAGAAGAGGTTCTAAGTCGGGCGCAGTGGCTCACACCTGTCATCCCAGTACTTTGGGAGGCTGAGGTGGATGGCTGAGGTCAGGAGTTCGAGACCAGCCTGGCCAACATGGTGAAACCCCGTCTCTACTAAAAATACAAAAATTAGCCAGGCGTGGTGGTGGGTGCCTGTAATTCCAGCTACTCGGGAGGCTGAGGCAGGAGAATCGCTTGAACCCGGGAGGTGGAGGTTAAAGTGAGCCGAGATTGCGCCATTGCACTCCAGCCTGGGTGACAAGAGCGAAACTCTGTCTCAAAAAAATAAAGTAAAATAAAATAAAATAAATAAAATAAAGAAAAGGTTCTAAGCCGGTCATGGTGGCTCAAGCCTGTAATCCCAGCATTTTGGGAGGCTGAGGTGGACAGATCACTTGAGGTCAGGAGTTCGAGACCAGCCTGGCCAACATGGTGAAACCCCATCTCTACTAAAAATACAAAAAATTAGCCGGGCGTGGTGGCGGGTGCCTGTGATCCCAGCTGCTTGGGAGGCTGAGGCAGGAGAATCGCTTGAACCTCGGAGGTGGAGATTGCAGTGAGCTATCGTGCCACTGCACTCCAGCCTGGGCGGCAGAGCCAGTCTCAAAATATATATATATAAATATATATATATGTGTGTGTGTGTGTGTGTGTGTGTATGTATATGTATGTGTGTATATCTACATGCACACGAGTTTGTATGTATATATGTGTGTCTACATGCATGAATGTTTGACATATGTACATGTATATGTAGACATATATTGTATATGTATATACATATATGTATACACATACACGTGTATATGTATACATATATTGTATATGTATAAATATACATATATGTATACATATACACGTGTATGTGTATACATATGCATATACACATATATGTGTATATGTATAAATATGCATATATGTATACACATACACGTGTATATGTATACACAAGCATATATGTGTATGTATATGTCAAACATGTGTATGCATGCAGACACACACACACACACACACAAATATACGTCCAAAGACAGCATCTGAAGGACTTCAGGCTAAACCTACCTGGTGGAAGAAACTATTCTCTTAACTCTCATTTCCAAATGAGAAGTATATTTAAGATGGGTGTACTTCCCTCACGGTGAAATGGTTTTCAACTTCTCAGGGAGAGAAGTCTTATTTCCTCTTTGCCTTTCTCCCCCCATTTTCCCTTTCTTTCCTCTTCCACATAGAGCATTTTAGATGCGTCCAGGGGGCCATGGTCTGTCACTCACTCACTTCTCTTTAGCTTACAGAAAGACAACATGCTATGAAAAAGAAAGAAAAAATCTCTCTTCTCAGTTTCTGATGTTTGCTTATCTGTTATTCTTGTAGATGTATATTGCCAGATTTGTATATGTCAATGTGTTATGGAAATTTTAACAGATATAAAAAGTATAAACAATAGTGAATTTCAGCCAGGTGTGGTGGCTCACGCCTGTAATCTCAGCACTTTGGGAGGCCAAGGCGGGTGGATCACAAGGTCAAGAGATCAAGGCCATCCTGGCCAACATGATGAAATCCCCACTCTACTAAAAAGGCAAAAAATTAGTCAAGTCATGGTGGCGTGTGCCTGTAATCCCATCTACTCGGGAGGCTGAGGCAGGAGAATGGAGTGAACCCAGGAGGTGGAGGTTGCAGTGAGCCGAGATCACGCCACTGCACTACAGCCTGGGCGACAGAGCAAGACCCCGTCTAAAAAAAAAAAAAAAAAAAAAAAAACAGAATAGTGAGTTTCAGCCAGGTGTGGTGGCTCATGCCTATGATTCCAGCACTTTGGGAGGCCGGAGAATTACTTGAGCCCAGGAGGTCGAGGCTGCAGTGAGCCAAGATCACGTCAAGGCACTCCAGCCTGGGTGATGGAGCGACGTTCTGTCTCGAATTTTTAAAACAAGAAGGGTGAGTTTAAAAGCTTGTGTACCTGCGCAGAACTTCAAGAAAATATTGCAATGTTATCTTCTTCACTTTCAGCCAGAAACTTAGCCAGGTGTGGTGGCAGGTGCCACCTGGAGATCTGGATGGGGGTCGTATGAGAACATCACGTTCTTTTTCTGAGCCTCTGGTATCCAGCCTAGCCTGTAGGCATTGCTTCCTCCGATGGGCAGTTTGTGCCTCTGGAAATCACCCTTCTACCTCCCATACCCCCCATCCCAATATCTCTGTGTGCTTGGCACATAGGAGGTGGGACATTTGGTAGAGAAAATACGTGCTGAAGCAAATGGAGTGAAATTGGGGAATCTGATAGAAGCAAATGGAGTCAAATCTGGGAATTTGATAAGCCTCCCATTCACACTGGGGATACTGGGACCAGATCCAAAGCCAGCAGCATTGAAACAGCGGTTGAAGCAGCGTTCAAACAGTATTGAAACAGATTTGTGGACACCGCAGTCGTGCATGCATTCCTCATGAGGAAAGGCTGTCACTCTTTAAATTTCTCCCTGACTTGGGTGTCTGCAAATATCCATGAGTCTTATTCTCTACGTGGACACACAGATGTCCACTCGGATACCTCAGCCGTAGAAGAATCACCAAGCATCTATGACCCACATTGTTTATCTATTTATCTTGCCAGTCGTTTTGTGGGGAGGAAGGGGGCTTGCTTTGTTTAAAAAATTATTTGAGGCCAGGCACGGTGGCTCACGCCTGTAACCCCAGCACTTGGGGAGGCTGAGGCTGGCGGATCACCTGAGGTCAGGAGTTCGAGACCAGCCTGGCCAACATGGCGAAACCCCGTCTCTACTAAAAATACAAAAATTAGCCAGGCGTGGTGGCAGGTATCTGTCATCCCAGCTACTCAGGAGGCTGAGGCAGGAGAACTGCTTGAACCCGGGAGGTGGAGGTTGCAGTGAGCCAAGATTGCGCCACTGTGCTTCAGTCTGGGTGACAGTGCGAGACTCTGTCTCAAAAAAAAAAAAATTTGAAGTAGTGTACAAGAATGTAGGAGAGAAAAAAACCCTAATCCACAGAGCATCGAGTTCATTATAAATACACACGAGACTGACTCGTCTTCTCTGGGAAGATGACAAGAGTTGGAAAGGCCCTGACTTGTGATTGGAAGGAAGGCTTCAGGTACTTGGAGTGAAAATGAGAATTAAAGGCACAAGAAAACAGTTATTTTGCAACAGGAATATATTTGGCAGGGACCTCCAAATCCCAGTTGTGGACCCATTGCTGGCTGCAAGTACAGGATCTCAAACATGGTTTATCTATGTTGCCTATATTTTTTGGAGAGGAAGCGGGCTTGCTTTGTTTAAAAAATTATCTGAGGCCAGGCACGGTGGCTCACACCTGTAACCCCAGCACTTGGGGAGGCCGAGGCTGCTGGATCACATGAGGTCAGGAGTTCGAGACCAGCCTGGCCAACATGGCGAAACCCCGTCTCTACTAAAAATACAAAAATTAGCTGGGCATGGTGGTGGGCACCTGTAATTCCAGTTACTCAGGAGGCCAAGGCAGGACAATTGCTTGAACCCGGGAGGCGGAGGTTGCAGCGAGCCGAGATTGTGCCATTGCACTCCAGCCTGAGTGACAGAGCAAGACTGGCTCAAAAAAAAAATTATTTGAAGTCGTTTACAAGAATGTAGGAGAGAAGACTGGGAAGATTGGCATCTTGGGAAGATGCCAAGAGTTGGAAAGGCCCTGAGTTATGACTGGAAGGGAGGCTTCAGGTACTCGGAGGAAACATGGGGATTAAAAGCACAAGAAAACAGTCATTTTGCAACAGGAATATATCTGGCAGGGACCTCCAAATCCCAATTGTGGACCCATTGCTGGCTGCAAGCACAGGCTCTCAAACCTGGTTGGGCAGTGGGGACCCTCTGGGCAGAATCACCTCCATCCCACCTGGGTTTCCACTTTAAACCCCCCAGTGGGGATTTTCCCATTCTGGAGACCTGGATGGGGTCCTCTGAGAACATCAGGCTCTTTTTCTGAGCCTTTGATCTCCAGCCTAGCCTGAATCAGGCTGGATGTCAGAGGTGCATCCTCCTTAGAATGAAGGAAGAAGGGACTTGGTAATGTTCTATGTACACACGGCAGGGTGATGCTTTGGGGTGTTTGTAAACGAGGTTTCTCCCTCTCATTCAGTTGCTCATCTTCCCTTTCACCCACTGCCCTGCCAACTAATTTGAGTAGCCTGATGGTGCTTGCTTCATCTCGCCAGGGGAGGGATGGGTTAGACCAGAGAGATGGAGAAAAACCAGCCTCTCCCTCGCTTGACTTCAAGGTCTGTTTTCAAGAGGGAGGCGCGCGTGGGTTTGGGTTAGACCTAAAGTGGTTGATGCTTAGAGGGAGGGATTTCTTTGCTCTCAGACTAGGGGGCAGAGATGAGGTAGCGAGGATGGAATATAGAGGTGATTGAAGGTATCTGGAAAGATATGCGTGGGCAATATGCAAATATTACACCATTTTATATAAGGGACATCCATGAATTTTACTAGCATCTGCTGAGTGTCCTGACATCAATCCTCCACAGATAACAAGGGATGACTGTATATAGATGACTTAGAGATACAGAAAGATATATAGAGAGATAGGGCGATACAGAGATGAAAGATTAATTGATGATAGATACCTGGATGGATAGATAGGAGATAGATAAATACATAGATACATAGATAGACGACAGATAGATACATAGATAGATAGATACATACATAGATAGATGATAGAAAGATAGATGATAGATGGTAGATAGATAATAGATAGATAAGTAAATAGATAGTAGACAGAAGATAGACAGTAGACAAGTAGCTGGTAGGTAGATAGTAGAAAAGTGGTAGATAGATAGATAGAAGACAAGTCGCTGGTAGGTAAGTAGACAGACAGTAGACAGGTAGCTGTGTAGACAGATGATAGATAGATAGATAGATAGATAGATAGATAGATAGATAAGATAGATAGATAGAAACATAGATGATAGGAGACAGGTACATAGATATCTGGATGGATAGATAGGAGATAGACGACAGATAGATAGATAGATGATAGATGGTAGATAGATAGATAATAGATAAGTAAATAGGTAGATAGTAGACAGAGATAGAAGATAGATAGTAGACAAGTAGCTGGTAGGTAGATAGGTAGATAGAAAAGTAACTGGTAGATAGATAGAAGACAAGTAGCTGGTAGGTAGGTAGATAGAAAGACAGTAGACAGGTAGCTGTGTAGACAGATGATAGATAGATAGATAGATAGATAGATAGATAGATAGATAGATAGATAGATGATAGACAAAGATAGATAGTAGATAGATAGTAGATAGAAAGATAGATAGATGGATAGTAGATAGATAGATAGAGATAGATGATAGATAGGAGACAGGTACATAGATTGATGTCGTGTTGATTGACAGATGATAGAGCCATATACACTGAGGTGTGTACACACACATGTATAAACGCACATTGGATATACAGATGTATATATAGAGAGAGAACCATATGCACAGAGTCATGTACTCATATGCCCCCCACTGCTGTGTCACTGCGTACATTTTCAGAAATCCACCTATTTCTGAGTCGAGGAAGAACCTGCTCTCCCAGGGGTAAAGGGGTGTGCCGCTCCAGGATGACATGCCACCCTGGTGTTGACTCTTTCAGCCTCACACACAAACCCCACCCGCTGGGTCAGGGTTTACACCCTCTTCAGTGAATGTCCTGGATTTCCTGGAGAGGCTCAGCCAGGCAGGAGGGGACCAGGAGAGGCGCTGGCCATTCCTCCAGTTTGGTCACCAAGAGGTGGGTGGTTTCAGCCTGAAAGATGCACCTGCAGGACCTGTGGGTTGAGTAGATGGTGTCACCTGAGGGGCAGGGGATGACCAGCGTCCCTGGGTGGAGAGGGCTGCGTGGACAGTGCACTCATCCCACCTTGCTGCCCCTCAGTCGCCTGGCCACAGAGACTCCGGGTCCACCACATTGAACCCCCACTGCCACGATGCCCTTCACCCTTGACGTGAAAGTCCCTTCCTCACCTGAGCCCGCCAACGTCTCTCCATCCTCACTTCCTCATCTCTGCCCCCAGTCTATCTACTTATCTATTTATCTATGTATCTATCTATCTACTATCTATGTATCTATCTATCTACTATCTATCTATATCTATGTATCTATTATCTATCTATATCTATGTATCTATGTATTATCTATCTATATCTATCTATGTATCTATCTCTATCTACCTATCTATCATCTATGTATCTATTTATCTATCTAGCTATCTATGTATGTATCTAGTATCTATCTATCTAGCTATATATCTATGTATCTATGTATTATGTATCTATCTTCTATCTATATCTATCTATGTATCTATCTATCTCTATCTATCATCTATGTATCTCTCTATCTAGCTATCTATGTATCTAGTATCTATCTATCTAGCTATCTATGTATGTATCTATGTATTATCTATCTTCTATCTATCCATCCATATATCTATCATCAGTCAATCAATCCTTTCATCGCTGTATCGCTCTATCCAGGTATCTTATCTATTTATTTTTCTCTTTCTATATTTCTGTATCTCTAACTCATCTATATACAGTCATCCCTTGTTATCTGTGAGGGATTGGTTCCAGGACACACGACAGATAATAGTAAAATTCATGGATGTGGCTGATATAAAATGGTGTAGTATTTGCATATTAGCTATGCACATCCTTCCAAATACCTTCAATTGCCTCTATATTACTTATAATACTTAATACAATGTAAGTGCTATGTAAATAGTTACTATACCATATTGTTCAGGGAATAATGTTTTAAAAAGTCTGTACATGTTCAGTACAGATGCATTTTTTTCCAAATATTTTTCATCTGTGGTTGGTTGAATCCACGGATTTGGAAGCCACAGATATGAACAGCCAACTCTGTGTGAGTGTGTGGGTATATATACATATGTATGTGTGTATACATGTATATGTATATATGTATGTGTATATATGTATGTGTGTATATGTGTATATATGTGCGTATAGATGTATGTGTGTATATATGTACATGTATATATGTGTGAGTGTATATATGTGTGTGTATATGTATATGTGCATTTATATGTATATATGTATATGTGCATATATGTATGTGTATATATGTACACGTATATATGAGTATATATGTGATTTGTATATATGTATGTGTATATATGTGCGTATGTATATGTATATGTGTGTATGTTTATATGTACATGTGTATATATGTACATGTGTGTATATATGTATATATGCATGTGTGTATATCTGTCTGCATGTACATGTATGTGTGTATATATGTATATGCACATGTCTGTGTGTACATATGTGTGTATATATGTATATGTTTATATGCACGTATGTACATGTATATATGTGTGTATATATGTACATGTATATATATATGTGTGTATATATGTGTGTATATATGTATGTGTGTGCATATGTATGTGTATGTGTGTGTGTAGATATGTATATGTACGTGTGTATATATGTGTGAATATGTATGTGTGTATATATGTATATGTGTATTCGTGTATGTATACACTACATTTATTCTATTTATCTCATAATTATGTATAAAACATGTAAGACAGATGCTAATTGTTGCCGCTCACCTACCTACATTTTCTCTTTAAGAAACATACGGTTTCAGATTTTAAAATGAAACAGACTTGAAGCCATGTGGAAATTTTTGACTGAAGTTCTCCAGTGGCCAATTTCTGTTTAAAAAATGTAAAAAGACCAAGGATTTCACACACTCCATCAGGCACCTAATAAAGAGACTCATGCATCTGTCAGTAACAGCAGCCCAGCAACCCAGCATTGCACGGTTAGAATATCTACTAGGAAGTGAAAAATAAATAACCGTTGTATCTGAACCTTTACAGGGTCTCAAACACCTGCCTGATTCACAATGGTGCATAATTCCAGTGATTTTCCATTTATGAAGGTTCTTGGAGCACCTGGTCTCTCTTCCCTATGATCATGCAAAACCAGCTTTCAAAACCTTTTCATCGGCGGATTAAACAGATTCTCATTTCCCCTCTCCCTTAATACGTTCCAAGGTGTTTGAAAGAGTCGTGGATACATTTTAATTTTCTTAATCATAGTTTTGCGGCGAATTGTCACGTCACCGGGTTCATTTGTTTGGAAGTGTATTGAAGCTTCCTCTTCTGTAACGTTATGAGATAATTGCTTTCTATCCAAATCCCATTCTGTGAACCCATGTGTCCAGTGGAGGGTGCCTGTACCCAAGCTAAGTTACTCTTTCAGCCCGGGAGGCTCTAAAATCCAAAGAATGCTTGCTTGTCTAAAACGTCCAGTTCAATATCTGGACCTTTGCTTTTTCTTTTCTTTTTTATTTTTAACCAGTAGCCTAGTTAGAAGGTCCCTTTCTCTTTATTTTTATTTTACTTTAACTTCTGGGATACATGTGCAGAATGTGCAGGTTCGCTACAGAGGTATACATGTGCCATGGTGGTTTGCTGTACCTGTGAACCCGTCATCTAGGTTTTAAGCCCTGCATGCATTAGGTATTTGTCCTAATGCTCTCCCTCCCCTTGCCCCCCACCCCCTGACAGGCCCCTGTGTGTGATGTTCCCCTCCCTGTGTCCATGTGTTCTCATTGTTCAACTCCCACTTATGAGTGAGAACATGCGGTGTTTGGTTTTCTGTTCTTGTGTTAGTTTGCTGAGAATGATGGTTTCCAGCTTCATCCATGTCCCTGCAAAGGACATGAACTCATTCTTTTTGATGGCTGCATAGTATTCCATGGTGTATATGTGCCACATTTTCTTCATCCAGTCTATCATTGATGGACATTTGGGTTGGTTCCAAGTCTTTGCTATTGTGAATAGTGCTGCAATAAACATACGTGTGCATGTGTCTTTATAGTAAACTGATTTATAATCCTTTGGGTGTATACCCAGTAATGGGATTGCTGGGTCAAATGTATTTCTGGTTCTAGATCCTTGAGGAATCGCCACACTGTCTTCTACAATGGTTGAACTATTTTTCATATCGTTTCTATTGCATAAGCACTTTCTTAAATAAAAAAAGTTTTATTCCTCCTTCCCAATATGTAGGCATTTTCTTAGCTTTTTTGAATTGCACTAGAGGGTCCTACAGTTTGCTTTTGTGTGAGACAGGACACTTTGCTGTGCTCCTGATCTTACCAGGAAGGCATTTAGCCCTTCCCTGCTAAGTATAATCAATAGCTGTCAGTTTGTAATGTGCTTTATAAGGTGGAAGAAATTGTCTCTATTCCTACTTTAAGATATATATATATATTTTAACATGAATGTGTACATTTGTCAACTGTCTTTTTGGCATTTACTGTAATCATATGCTTTTAATTCTTTATTCTGTTGTCATGGTGAGTTACCTTGATCTGCTTCAAAGGCTGAGCCAACCCACATTTCTGGGATAGATTCTTTCCTTCCCCAACCCTTGGTCATGAAATATTCTCTTCTCCTCTCCTCTCTCCTCTCTTCTCCTCTCTCCTCTCTTCTCCTCTCTCCTCTCCTCTCTCCTCTCCTCCCTCCTCTCCTCTCTCCTCTCCTCTCCTCTCCCCTCCCCTCTCCTCTCCTTTTCGGTGTGTGATGTTCCCCTCCCTGTGTCCATGTGTTCTCATTGTTCAACTCCCACTTATGGGTGAGACTCTCTTTTCTTTCTTTTCTTTTCATTTATGTTTTTGAGACGGAGTCTCACTCTTGTCATCCAGGCTGGAGTGCAGTGGCGCGATCTCAGCCTCACTGCAACCTCCGCTTCCCGGATTCAAGCGATTCTCCTGCCTCAGCCTCCCGAGTAGCTGGAATTACAGGCACCCAGCAGCACATCTTGCTAATTTTTGTTATTTTTAGTAGAGACGGGGTTTCGCCATGTTGACCAGGATGGTCTCAATCTCTTGACCTGGTGACCCGCCTGTCTCGGCCTCCCAAAGTGTTGGGATGACAGGTGTGAGCCACTGCACCCGGCCAATACTATTGTTTTAGTACTGGTGGTATTAATCTGTCAACATCTTGCGAAGCCAGCATTCCCTGGATACTAACACCAGACTAGGACATTGTCAGACTCTAAAACGAATGGCAAAGATTCCTCATGAGCAAATATACAAAAAGTCTTTAATATAATGGGCTGAGAAGTATATGCTTCCATTTTCTGGAAGCATTTCTATAGCATTGAGGTTTTTTTTTTCTTGAATAATTGGTAGAATTTACCTGTACAGCTGTTTGGGGTTGGAGTTTTCTTTGGGAGTATTTAATGGCAAATTCATTTACCTTATTCGATATATAAGAGAGCAGTGAGTGAGCTGAGCCTCTTTCAAACCAGAACCCCTGTGGGATCCCAAGACCTTCCACTGAGCCAGATGCTGGAATCCACCTCAGTACCCCACGGAACTCAAAGAACAGGCTTAAACAGTGAGAAAAACACCCTTTCGAGTCAGATTAAAAACTGGGACATTTCCATGTTTCTGTTTGACGCCATTTGGTGCGTGTATAAATATAATCTCAAGGGATAACTTCCAGTTCCAGGCAGAGCAAAGGACCATGACGTCTCAGCCCAGAGAGAAAGGCTTTGAATATCTGCCATCCTCTCAGGAAAAAATAAAGGCGTTTTTCCATAGTTCCCTTCCGACTTATCTTCCCCTTGACATATTGCATCAAATGCTTTAAAATTTTATTTTTGGTGTTGGCTCATGACTCACATCCATGCTTCAATGTCTGAAATCTAATTAATATTCTCTGAGTCCCCCTGTTGAGTTAGCCTGAAGTCCCAGCCTTTGAGCAGTGCTCAGATGTTACAGGAAGAAGAAAGTAATCGAAACTTGGTGAGTTTGAGACACTTTTGAAATGTTCCTCTGCGTTTAGAGATCCTGCTAGTTCTCATCTCTTGCCAGTTCCAAAGTGTAACACATTCTGCTTCCCTGAGCTAATAAAAATCAATTTCTGCTGCTCACAGTTTGTCTTTCTCAGAAAGACGGGTCTCAGGCTATTTGTCTTGGCCAGGTGCCACAGAAGTAACCGCAGGGAGAAACTGGTCTTGGATGTTCTGCCCGTAAGATTAGTCATCTTGGCCGGGCACGGTGGCTCACGCCTGCAATCACAGCACTTTGGGAGGCCGAGGTGGGCGGATCACTTGAGGTCAGGAGTTCGAGACCAGCCTGGACAACATGGTGAAACCCCGTCTCTACTAAAAATACAAAAAAATTACCCAGGCGTGGTGGCGGGTGCCTGTAATCCCAGCTACTCAGGAGGATGAGATGGGAGAATCGCTTGAACCTGAGAGGCAGAGGTTGCAGTGAGCCGAGAACACATCATTGCACTCCAGCCTGGGTGACAAGAGTGAAATTCCATCTCAAAAAAAAATTAATCATCTCCTGGGTTTTTTGTTTATTTTTATTTTTATTTTTTTTGATATGGAGTCTCACTCTCTGTCGCCCAGGCCGGAGTGCAGTGTCGCGATCTCAGCTCACTGCAACCTCCGCCACCCAGGTTCAAGCGATTCTCCTGACTCAGCCGCCTGACTAGCTGGGACTACAGGCACATGCCACCATACCTGGCTAATTTTTGTATTTTTAGCAGAGATGGGGTTTCACCATGTTGGCCAGGCTGGTCTCGAACTGCTGACCTCAAGATCCGCCCGCCTCAGCCTCCCCAAGTGTTGGGTTTACAGGCGTGAACCACTGTGCCTGGCCAGAATGATCTGGTTTTAAACATCAATACTGCTGAGGTTGAGAAAATCTTCTTTAGCATGAGAGACTCAGTCTACATATTCTCTCTCTGTCTTTCATCTGTCACTATTGTTATTATTCTATCTGTTCATCTATCTATTAATATCTACATATCTTCTATATATCATCTATTATCTAACATCTACCTATATCTATATATCATGTATTATCACGTATCTATCCATTGTCTATTTCTATCATTTATCATTCTGTGTATTGATCATCTTTTTTTCTATCATCTATGTAACTCATCTATCATCTGTCATGTCTATCATCTATTTTTCTATCATCTGTGCATTGATCGATCTAGCATCTATTATCCCTCTCTATCATCTATTGATCTATCTACATATCTATCCGTCTACCTACTTAGCATCTATCTGTCATCTATTGGTCTTTCTACATATCTACCTACCTACCTACCTACTCAGCATCTATGTATCTGTGTATCCATCTATCATCTATTGATCTTCCTACATATCTACTTACCTACCTACTCAGCATCTATGTATCTATCTATCATCTATTGATCTCTCTACATATCTACCTACTAACCTACTCAGCGTCTATGTATCTATGTATCTATCTATCATCTATTGATCTCTCTACATATCTACCTACCTACCTACTCAGCGTCTATGTATCTTTGTATCTAGCTATCATCTATTGATCTATCTACACATCTATCTACCTACTTAGCATCTATCATCTATTGACCTATCTATATATCTATCTACCTACCTACTCAGCATCTATTATCTATCTATCATCTATCTATCATCTATCTAATCTATCTATTGTCTATTGATCTATCTACACATCTATCTACCTACCTAGTTAGCATCTATCATCTGTTATCTATCTACATATGTGTCTACCTATCTACTTAGCATCTATCTATCATCTATTGATCTATCTATATATCTATCTATCTACCTACTTAGCATCTATCTCTGTATCATCTATTGATCTATCTACATATCTACCTACCTATCTACTTAGCATCTATCTATCACCTATTGGTCTATCTACATGTCTATATACCTACCTCCTTAGCATCTATCTATCTATCTATCTATCTATCTATCTATCATCTATTGATCCATCTACTTGTCTATATACCTACCTCCTTAGCATCTATCTAATCTATCATCTGTCTATCTATCTATCTATCCAGCTATCTCTCATCTATTTACCTAAGTATTCTCTCTCTCTCTCTCTCACTCTTGCTCTCTCCCCCTTGCTCTCTCCCTACTACCTATCTATTATATATCTATCTATGGCAGTTGCTAGCAACCAGGTACGATGTTTTGCCCTAGGGCACATTTGGCAATGTCTGAACATATTCTTGGTGTCACAAGGCTGTTTGGCACATCTTGTGTAATTATGAATTTCCCAGAACATAGGCTTTTATCAGGAAATCCTCATGGTTCTGCCCTCAGCATGTATCCCACAGGTGAGTACATTATGACCTCTAGGGTGCCCAGTGAAGTCTCAGCCCTCCACCACACACCCTGTGCTTGACTTTTGAAGCCATCTCTTCCTGGTCTTTCTGCCTCTTACCTGACCCTTGGTCTATCAACTGTAGATAATCCTGGGGAATAATCATGCTGTTACCTGAGTGGGCTGCTTTGAAGAATGTGTCCCAAATCCATCCAACGGGAACCTCAGAATGTGACCTTATTCGGAAATAAGATTTTTGCTGAAGTGATGAGTTAACACAACATCATATTGGAGGTGCATGGGCCTTAAGTCCAATGACAGGTGTCCTCACAAGAGACAGAAGAGGAGACACAGACACAGACGAGGAGGCCACATGGACATGGCGGCAGAGACTGGAATGATGTGGCCACAAGCCCATGGATGCCTGCCACCCCCAGGATCTGGGAGAGGCAGGAAGGATCCTCCCCTAGAACCTCCAGAGGGAGCTCAGCCCTGAGACACATTCAGTTCAGACTTGTGGTCTGCAGGACTGGGAGAGGATACATTTCTGTTCTACCTGTCTGACTATCAACTATCTATCATCTCTATTTATCTATCACCTCTATCTATCTATCGTCTATCCCTCATCTCCATCTATCTATTATCTATCGACCTATCATCAATCTATCATCTATTATCTATCTATGTATCTATCTATCCTTTCCATCTATCATGTCTATTTATCTAACCTGTCTATTATCTATGTATCTCTCACCTCCATCTATTATCTATCGATCTATCATCTATCTATCATCTATGTATCTCTCATCTCCATCTATTATCTATTGATCTATCATCGATCATGTGTTATCTGCCTATCTATCTATCATCTATTATCTGTCTCTCATCTCCATCTATTATCTATCGATTTATCATTTATCTATCATCTATTATGTGTCTATCTATCCTTTCCATCTATCATCTCTATTTATCTATCCTATCTATGTACCTCTCATCTCCATCTATTATCTATCGATCTATCATCCGTCTATCATCTATGTATCTCTCATCTCCATCTATTATCTATCGATCTATCATCTATCTATGATCTATGTATCTCTTATCTCCATCTGTCTATTATCTATTGCCTATTGATCCATCATTATCTGCCTATCTATCATCTATTATGTATGTATCGCTCATCTCCATCTATTTTCTATAGATCTATCATGTATCTATCATCTATTATGTATCTATCTATTATCTATGTATCTCTTATCTCCATCTATTATCTATTTTCTATAGATCTATCATCTATCTATCATCTATTATGTACGTATCTCTCATCTCCATCTATCTATTATCTATAGATCTATCATGTATCTATCTTCTATTATCTATCTATCTATCCTTTCCATCTATCATCTATTATCTATCTATCTATCTATCTATCTATCTACCCTTTCCATCTATGTATCATCTATCATTTACTGTGGTGTCCCGAGGATCACCCCCTGGGCTCTCATCAACAATGAGAATGAATCCCAGTGGACATCCTTTTGTTCAGGGTCTCCGGACACCATCTCTGGACACCCTCCTCTTTTCTAACTCAAACTGCCACAGACCAAGATAAACATTTCAGCTGGAATTTCCACTTTGTGACCCTGGAGGAAGAATTTCCTATCCTTCAGGTCCCAGTCTTGATTTAGTCATTTCTGCTGGCTAATTGCTCTGTGATTTGTTAATTACCCACTTGCTCTTCAGTGACCACAATTTAATCTCAACTTAACAGGGTCGCGCTCCATACTCAGACCTTGGCGGATGTTTTCTTACTGACCAAAGACTGGATTTCTCAGGCATGTGTTTTCAGACACTGCTCAGAATCTACAGGCAGGAATGGCAGAGCTCATTTCAGGTCTTAGGAGCTCAGCACAAAATTAGGTAGTGAGTTTTCTTTCCATGCACACCTTGCTGTTCAATTTTTTTTTTCTTTTTTTTAGACGGAGTCTTGCTCTGTCACCCAGGCTGGAGTGCAGTGGCACAATCTTGGCTCACTGCAACCTCCACTTCCCAGGTTCAAGCGATTCTCCTGTCTCAGCCTTCTGAGTAGCTGGGATTACAGGTGGGCACCACCACACCCGACTAATTTTTTGTATTCTTAGCAGAGACGGGGTTTCACCATGTTGGCCAGACTGGTCTCGAACTCCTGACCTCAGGTGATCCACCCCCTCAGCTTCCCAAAGTGCTGGGATTACAGGTGTGAGCCACCATGCCCAGCCCCAGAGTCAATTCTGATCATTCAGCGTGTAGAACAGCTCAGGAACCATGGATCTGGCTTGGTGTTTGCAGCCACCAGGTGCTTTCTCTATAGGCTGGTCCCCTTCCCATCTCTTCTTGTGGACTGGATTTGACCCCCTACCACCGCTCAGAGACACAGGTGGAAGCTCTGAGTCCACCATTACGACTGTATTTGGAGACAGGGTCTGTGAGGAGGTAACTGAGGTCAAATGTGATCATAAGTGTGGGGTTGTAACCTGGTAGAATTGTGTCTTTACAAGAAGAGTATTGGCTGGGCGAAGTGGCTCATGCCTATAATCTTAGCACTTTGGGAGGCCGAGGTGTGTGGATTGCTTGAGGTCAAAAGTTCAAGACCAGCCTGACTAACAAGGTGAAACCCCATCTCTACTAAAAATACAAAAAAAAAGTTTGTGGTTTTTTTTTTTGCGGTGGTGCATGCCTGTAATCCCAGCTACTCAGGAGGCTGAGGCAGGAGAATCCCTTGAACCTGGGAGGAGGAGGTTACAGTGAGCTGAGGTCGAGCCACTGCATTCCAGCCTGGGTGAGAGAGCAAGACTCCATCTCAAAAAAAAAAAAAAGAAAAGAAGAGGATCACCTTTTACCCTCAAGTAGACCCCACTGTCTTTTCTTTCTCTCTGTGTTTCCATGTCTTCTGGATATTTAACTCCCACTTATCAGTGAGAACAGGTCGTATTTCATTTTCTCTTCCTGTGTTAGTTTGCTGAGGGAAATAGTCTCCAGTTCCAGCCATGTCCTTGCAGAGGACATGATCTCATTTTTTTTTCTTTTTCTTTTTTTTTGAGACAGGGTTTTTGCTCTCGTTGCCCAGGATGGAGTGCAATGGCACGATCTCAGCTCACTGCAACCTCCGCCTCCCGGGTTCAAGCCATTGTCCTGCCTCAGCCTCCCGAGTAGCTGGGATTACAGGCATGCACCACCACGCCCGGCTAATTTTGTATTTTTAGTAGAGATGGGATTTCTCCATGTTGGACAGGCTGGTCTTGAACTCCCAACCTCAGGTGATCCACCCCCTTTGGCCTCCCGAAGTGCTGGGATTACAGGCGTGAGCCCCCACGCCTGGCCATCTTGTTCATTTTTATGGTTGTATAGTATTCCACAGTGTATAGCTACCACATTCTCTTTATCCGGTTTATCACTGATGGGCATTGATATTGATTCCATCTTTTTGCTGTTGTGAATAGTGACATGAACAGGTAGTTTTGAAAAGAAGGCATACGTATGGTCAAGAGTCATATGAGAAAAATTCTCAACATCACTAATCATTAGAGAATTGCAAATCAAAACCACAATGAGATACCATCTCACTTCAGTCAGAATGGCTATTACTACAAAATCGAAAAACAGCAGATGCTGACGAGGTTACAGAGAAAAGGGAACGCATATATGCTGCTGGTGGCAATATAAATTAGTTCAACCATTGTGGAAAGCACTGTGACAACTCCTCAAAGAACTAAAAACAGAATTACCATTCTACCCAGCAATCCCATGATTGGGTATATACCTGACGGAATATAAATTGTTCTAGTGTAAATGGCCGGGCACGGAGGCTCACGCCTGTAATCCCAGCACTTTGGGAGGCCGAGGCAGGTGGATCACAAGGTCAGGAGATCGAGACCAGCCTGAGCAAAATGGTGAAACCCCGTCTCTATTAAAAATACAAAAATTAGCTGGGCACGGTGGCTCACGCCAGGAATCCCAGCACTTTGGGAGGCCAAGGTAGGCAGATCACAAGGTCAGGAGATCGAGACCAGCCTGAGCAATATGGTGAAACCCTGTCTCTACTAAAAATACAAAAATTATCTGGCTCACGCCAGTAATTCCAACACTTTGGGAGGCCGAGGCAGGCAGATCACCTGAGGTCAGGAGTTTGAGACCAGCCTGGCCAACATGGTGAAACCCTATCTCTACTACAAATACAAAAATTAGCCAGGCGTGGTGGCTCACGCCTGTAGTCCCAGCACTTTGGGAGGCCGAGGCAGGCGGATCACAAGGTCAGGAGATCGAGACCAGCCTAACATGGTGAAACCCTGTCTCTACTAAAAATTCAAAATTTAGCTGGCTCACGCCAGTAATCCCAACACTTTGGGAGGCTGAGGCGGGTGGATCACCTGAGGTCAGGAGGTTGAGACCAGCCTGGCCAACATGGTGAAACCCCATCTCTACTACAAATACAAAAATTTGTCAGGCATGGTGGCTCACACTTGTAATCCCAACACTTTGGGAGGCTGAGGCAGGCGGATCACCTGAGGTCAGGAGTTTGAGACCAGCCTGGCCAACATGGTGAAACCCCATCTCTACTACAAATACAAAAATCAGCCAGGCATGGTGGCTCATGCCTGTAGTCCCAGCTACTTGGGAGGCTGACAGAGGAGAATCACTTGAACCCGGGAGGCAGGGGTTGCAGTGAGCTAAGATCCTGCCACTGCACTCCAGCCTGGGTGACATAGTGAGACTTGGTTTCAATAATAATAATAATAATAATAATAATAAATAAATTGTTCTAGCATAAAGACACGTGCGCACGAATGTTCATTGCAGCACTAACTTTTGGCTTTCTTTTCTGGTAGGATCCAAACGTTTTCACGGGTTGGTGCCATTTTATTCTGTTGTTAGCAAGCATCTATGACCTGTGGTGAGTTACTCCTAAGCAGTGGCTCTGAACTCTGGGTGCACAAAGGCATTTTATGGGAGCTTTTAGAAAATACTGAGGCTAGGATCCACCCCCAGAGACCCACGTTTATTTGATGGGAGGTTTCGGCTGGGTAACAGGAGTCCTAAGGTATCAGCAAGGGGTGGTGAAATGCAGAGAGTTTGAGAAACCGCTGAGCTAGCCAGGTGTTCTGCACCTTAACTCCGCCATCCCTAGTGGGTTGGGGGTGCCCTCAGGAGTCAGTGAGGAGCCTCCAGTTTGGACGCGGCTTCAGCAGCTTGGCTGCAAGACATCCCATCAATACAGGCCAGCCAAGATGAATCAATTTTCAGTTGCCTGTGGCCAGCTGCCCTGCAAAGCCAATTTGTAATCTGATCCCGTCCTTGTCCGGGGGAGCTTTCTTTTTTTTTTTTTTTTTTTTTTTTGAGACAGAGTCGTGCTCTGTCACCAGGTTAGAATGCAGTGAAGCTTTCAAATTTCCCTGGGATGCCTGGAAGCCTGTGGAGACAGAGAGGCTGTTTCTGTAGGGTTACCCGGTGGCCGCGCCAAAATGCTCAGCTCTGCGTTTCGGGGGGCCGGCATCCCCTGAGACTCAGTGAGAAAAGAAAACAAGGGCTAGAAGGAGGGTTAGTGGGACGGGTGAGAGGCTGTTTCAGTCATGGTATTCTGCAGTGTGCTGGCATACAAAATGCAGCATAGTGTCATGCTTTGTGTTATATGTACTTTATAACACCTATAAAACATCTATAAGATGCAGAATATATAATCGTGCAATTGTTTAAAAAGATATGTATATATAATATATATTATACATGGGATATATATGTTATAGATAAAGTATATATAAAGATATATATTATATATAAAATATATATTTATAAAGACATGTATCTTTATATATAAAAGATATATATTTATCCATAAAGACATCTTTATATATTAAAGATATATCTATTTATAAAGACATATATCTTTTATATATATAAAAGATATATATTTATAAATAAAGACATATATCTTTATACATATAAAAAGATATATGTCTTTATTATATATTATATATATCTTTATATATATTATATATCTTTATTATATATATTATATATAAGATATACATTTATAAATATATATCTTTTATATATATAAAAGATATATATTTATAAATAAAGATATATATCTTTATATATATATTAAAGATATACATATATATTTTTTCTTTTGCAGGAGTCTCGCTCTGTCACCCAGGCTGCAGTGCAGTGGCGCAATCTTCACTGACTGCAACCTCTGCCTCCCAGGTTTAAGCAATTCTCCTGCCTCAGCCTCCTGAGTATCTGGGACTACAGGCACCCGCCACCATGCCTGGCTAATTTTTGTATTTTTAGTAGAGACAGGGTTTCACCGTGTTAGCTAGGATGGTCTCAATCTCCTGACCTCGTGATCCACCCACCTTGGCCTCCCAAAGTACTGGGATGACAGGCGTGAGCCACCTCACCCGGCCTATATGTGTTTTATTATATATATTATACACAGAATAGTTCAACTTTGTAGAAAAAAATTAGATTTTCCCACCTTGCATACAGATATACATATATTCTATCCTCCAGGATAGTTACCATATTATACATTATAACATATCATGTGTTATGTATAAAGTATGATATGGTATATGTTTGCATATCCAGTAGTGCAATTTATAGAAAATATAAGGTTTTTCCAGATTGCAATATGGATGTATGTATATCTTATTATATATCATATTGTCTACAATAGTTATATGTGCATAATAGTAAATACGATATGTAATACAGATAATGCATTATATATATATATATATTTGGCTATATGATAGAATATATAATAGTGGACCTGGCGCGGTGACTCACTTCTGTAATCCCAGCATTTTGGGAGGCTGAGGCAGGTGGATCATGAGGTCATGAATTCCAGACCAGCCTGGCCAACATGGTGAAACCCTGTCTCTACCAAAAATACAAAAATTAGCCGGGCATGATGGCAGGCTCCTGTAATCCCAGCTACTCGGGAGGCTGAGGCAGGAGAATCACTTGAACCCAGGAGGCGGAGGTTGCAGTGAGCCGAGATTGCGCCATTGCACTCCAGCCTGGGCGACACAGCAAGACTCTGTCTGAAAAAAATTATATAATAGTGCAATTTCATAGGAAACATAGAATTTCCCCACTTTACATACAGATATAGTCTATTTCAAATTACATTATCTGCAATAGAAATCATATTAGTATGTATAACACTCTATAACATATATAGTTATGTGTATAATGGATAATGTATAATACATAGTTATATAATAGTTATGTCTATATAACACACGTGTGTACATATAACACCCATACATGTAAGTATATAACACACATATGTGTATATGACACACACATACGTGTATATGATGCATATACATATATGTATATAAGACATATATATATATATATATATATATATATGGGTTCACATAGAGGGTTTTGGCTTGGAGCTGGGCTCTTCAGCGAGCTGCTTCCAGCAGTGAATGGGACACGCACCCTGCACCACAGGCTCATGTGTATTAGAAATATTACTCAGTGCCCAGCACAGCACATCCCTGGGCTGGGGTGAGTCAATGGTGGGAGCTGCAGGCAGGGTGCACAGTGAGAGAGACCCTGATCCGGACCACTCAGCAAGGGCATGGTACAATGATTTTCATGTCTGTGTTCACCCAAGTTCATGTTGAATCCTTACTCTTGAGAAATGGCGTTAGGAGGTGGTGCTTTTGGGAGATGATAAGGTATTCATGTGGATTCCTCACTCTTGAGTGATGGCCTTCGGAGGTGATGGTTTTGGAAGATGATAAGGTCGTAAGGTTGGAGCCTCATTAAGGGCATTCCTGTCCTACAAAAGGGACCCCAGAGAGCTCCATCGTCCGTTCCACCGTGTGAGGATACAGACAGAAAGTGCTGTCTATGAACCAGGAAGTGGGGTTTCCACCAGATACTGAATCTCACGTCTTGATCCTGAACACTCAACCTCCAGAACTGTGAGATGTAAAGGTCAACTGCTTATCCTGAAACATGAAGCTTCCAGCCCCAGAAAAAGTGGGGAAAATGTTTATGGACAGAATAGTGACGTCCCACCATCATTCCTGTGTTGAAATCCTCAACCCCAAGAGGATGGTGTTGGGAGGTGGGGCCATTGGAAGGTGATGAGGTGGTGAGGGTGGGGCCCCATGAATGCAATTAGTGCCCTGAGAAAAGGGACCCCAGAGAGTTCCTTCACCCCTTCCACCAGGTGAGGACACAGCCAGAAGGCACCATCTATGAACCAGGAAGTGGGTCCTCACCAGACACCGAATCTGCCACGCCTTGATCTTGGACTTCCAGCCTCCTGAACTGTGAGCAAAAAATGTCAGTTGTTTATAAGCCACCCAGTCTATGGTACTGTTTTTTTGTTTTGTTTTGAGACGGAGTCTCGCTCTGTCACCAGGCTGGAGTGCAGTGGCGCGATCTTGGCTCACCGCAACCTCCGCTTCCCGGGTTCAAGCAATTCTCCTGCCTCAGCCTCCTGAGTAGCTGGGATTACAGGCACCTGCCACCATGCCTGGCTAATTTATTTGTATTTTTAGTACAGATGGGGTTTCACCATGTTGGCCAGGCTGGTCTTGAACTCCTGAGCTCAGGCAATCCACCCACCTCAGCCTCTCAAAGTGCTAGGATTAGGTATTTTTATAGCAGCCTGAAATGGACAAACACACAAAGATGAAAAAAATAACTCTAGTCGTGTTCTCCAGGGTTTAGAACAGCGGCAGAATAGGCAAGCTCATGCCTTGCAAATGGTGAGACCCTTTTTGACAAGTTGTTGGACAGCAATTCCTTTTCCATGAGATTTTTTTTTTTCCTAAGGATAAAAATGGAAAATGGACCGGGCGCGGCGGCTCACACCTGTAATCCCAGCACTTTGGGAGGCCGAGGTGGGAGGATCACGAGGTCAGGAGTTCAACACTAGCCTGGCCAATATGGTGAAACCCCGTGTCTACTAAAAATACAAAAATTAGCCGGGCGTCTTGGTGTGCACCTGTAATCCCAGCTACTGAGGAGGCTGAGGCAGGAGAATCACTTGAACCCGGGAGGCAGAGGTTGCAGTGAGCCGAGACAGAGCCACTGCACTATTCCAGCCTGGGTGACAGAGCAAGACTCCGTCTCAAAAAAAAAAAAAAAGGCAAATGAAACATTAAGGATCAGACTGAGTTGCCGTGCCATTTATACATGGAGAAAACTCCAGAGGGATCTCATGTCCAAGGACCAGGACACAGCCAGGTAACAGCAAAGCTTCCATGCAACTGACAGGGTGAAAAAAATAGCGTGGATGGTCCCCACCGAGAAAGAAACCCAACACATTTTCCAGTGGAGAAAATGGGACTGGTGGGAGAACATCACGACGACGACGGTGCAGCAACTCAATCTACGCGCAGAGGTTATCTGGATTCAGCAGAAAAGGAAGGTGGCAGGTGTGACCGGTTTGCGTTTCATAAATATTTGCAACGCTTTTTAATTAATTAGTTAGTTTACTATTTTTGAGATGGAGTTTCGCTCTTGTTGCCCAAGCTGGAGGGCGGTGGCGCGATCTCGGCTCACTGCAACCTCTGCCTCAGCTTCATGCAATTCTCCTGCCTCAGCCTCCTGAGTAGCTGGGATTACAAGCGCCTGCCAGCACGCCCGGCTAATTTTTGAATTTTTAGTACAGATGGGGTTTCTCCAAATTGGCCAGGCTTGTGTCAAACTCTTGACCTCAGGTGATCTGCCCGCCTCGGCCTCCCAAAGTGCTGGGATTACAGGTGTGAACCACTGCACCTGGCCACATTTTTCCCCTCTTACAATGACAGTATCATGTTGCATCAGGGGCCAACTCCGCTTCATTCTGACCAAATCTTTACGAATTGCATCTGCAAAGGCTCTATTTCCAAACGAGGTCACACTTGAGCTTCTGAGCAGACGTGAATTTGAGGGGTACATGTTTCAACCCCATTCACATCAACGTCTTTTTCTTCTTTAGCAATCAGTGAAGATAATAAGGTCATTTTTATTCTGAGAGGAAATGTGAGTTCGTCTCGTCTCAGAGGATTGCTCAGAGTCCAGTTGAGCATGGCTGGGGTGCTAGGCTGTGCCGTTCTTGCTCTAAGCCCGAGGGATAACTAATTTCCATTATTTTGTTCTTGCCGCCTCATAATTTGTCTACATGGGGGTGAGGAGAGTGAATGTCCTGTTACAGGAAGCTGTTGCGGGTGGACTATTTAAAGGGATTTCAGGCCAGGTGCGGCAGCTTATGCCTGTCATCCCACCACTTTGGGAGGCCGAGGAGGGTGGATCACAAGGTCAGGAGTTCGAGACCAGCCTGGCCGATATGGTGAAACTCCATCTCTACTAAAAATACAAAAATTAGCCGGGTGTGCTGTCGGGCGCCTGTAATCCCAGCTACTCAGGAGGCTGAGGCAGGAGAATCTCTTAGAACCCGGGAGGCGGAGGTTGCAGTGAGCCAGATTGGGCCACTGCACTCCAGCCTGGGTGACAAGAGGGAGACTCCATCTCAAAAAAAATCATAAAATAAAAAATTAATTAATTAAAAAGGCTAGGTGCAGTGGCTCATGCCTGTAATCCCAGCACTTTGGGAGGCCGAGGTGGGCAGATCACCTGAGGTTGGGGGTTTGAGACCATCCTGGCCAACATGGTGAAACCCCATCTCTAGTAAAATACAAAAATTAGCTGGGTGTGGTGTCGGGTGCTTGTAATCTCAGCTACTCAGGAGGCTGAGGCAGAATCTTAGAATCCAGGAGGTGGAGGTTGCAGTGAGCCGAGATCAAGCCATTGCACTCCAGCCTGGGCGACAAGAGGGAGACTCTGTCTCAAAAAAATACATAATATAATAAAAATAAATAAATAATAAAATAGGCCAGGCACGGTGGTTCACGCCTGTAGTCCCAGCACTTTGGGAGGCCAAGGTGGGTGGATCACCTGATGTCAGGTGTTCGAGACCAGCCTGGCCAACATGGTGAAACCCCATCTCTACGAAAAATACAAAAATTAGGTGGGTGTGGTGTCGGGCGCCTGTACTCCCAGCTTCTCAGCAAGGTGAGGCAGGAGAATCTCTGAGAATCCGGGAGGTGGAGGTTGCAGTGAACTGAGATTGGGCCACTGCACTCCAGCCTGGGCGACAAGAGGGAGACTCTGTCTCAAAAAATATATATATATAAAATAAATAATTAATAAAATAGGTCAGGTGCACTAGCTCATGCCTGTCATCCCAGCACTTTGGGAGGCCAAGGCAGGTGGATCACCTGATGTCAGGACTTCGAGACCAGCCTGGCCAACATGGTGAAACCTCGTCTCTACTAAAAATACAAAAATTAGCCGGGTGTGGTGTCGGGCGCCTGTAATCCCAGCTTCTCAGGAGGCTGAGGCAGGAGAATCTCTTAGAACCCCGGAGGCAGAGGTTGCAGTGAGCTGAGATTGCACCACTACACTCCAGCCTGGGCGACAAGAGGGGGACTCCATCTAAAAAAAAAAATGATAAAAAATAAATAATATAAAAAGTAAAATAAATAAAAGGATTTCAGAGGCATCTAACCAAGTAAGGACCCGGCCAAGCATGTATGTTGAAGACAAGCTGAGAAGGCTTTATAGCAATTAACAAAAAAAAACAGCTGGTAACAACAGCCAGTCTGGGGGTGTAAAAATGGAACTACCATTGGTAACAGGACCTTCCGTTCCTTCTAATGACCTCTTTGAAGGTACGAGTGATTTACACTCCATCATAACCCTCTTGGCCCCTGGGGCCTCGTCTCAGCATCCGTTCCGTAGGCAGGAGGCACGGTTCTCGGTGTTTCCGGAGACCAACCCTGTTTTGTTTCTTTGGTAAAGCATAGAGCGTGGTGCTATTGACGTCGGGAGAATACCACGGCTTTGAAAACATTATTCTCAGTGAACGGAAGCCTGTCGCTGAAGACCACGTATCCTGTGATTTCATTCAGATGAAAGGTTCAGAATAGACCAGTCCAGACACAAAGCAGATTAGTGGTTTCACAGGGGCTGGGGTGGGGGTGGGAAGGGAGTGGGGTCATGGGGAAAGAGTGTGGGGTTTCTTTGTCTTCTGCAAGGGATGAAAATATTGTAATCTACCCACAGTCATGCTTCTCTGCATCTGTGAATATCCTAAAAGCCACTCAATGGTAAATTGAATTGTCCATGACCAGAGGGGCCGGTGCACGTGACAGGCAGAGGTAGGAGACCCCATCCTAGCATCCACTGTTGACATTCTAAAAGTGACTGTCGGCCAGGCATGGTGGCTCACGCCTGTCATCCCAGCATTTTGGGAGGCCGAGGTGGGTGGATCACCTGAGGTCGGGAGTTCGAGACCAGCCTGGCCAACATGCTGAAACCTTGTCTCTACTTGAAAAATGAGTGAATTGTGTGGGATGTGAATTATATCTGAATAGAACAATCTTTTTTCTTTTTCTTTTGGCCGATTTTCTTTTTCTTTTGGTTTCTTTTGATCTGATGGTTTTACAAATGGGAGTTCCCCTGATAATGTCTCACTCTGTCACCCAGGCTCAAGTGCAGTGGCACGATCATAGCTCACTGCAGCCTCGATCTCCTGGGCTCAGGTAACCCTCCCACCTCAGTGTCAGCATAGCTGGGACCGCAGGTGTGCACCACCATGCCCAGTTAATTTATTTTTTCTAATCTGTAGAGACTTAAAAAAAATATATATATATATATATATGGAGGCCGATGCGGGTAGATCACCTGAGGTCAGGAGTTCGAGACCAGCCTGACCAGCATGGCGAAACCCCATCTATAGTAAAAGTACAAAATTACCTGGGCGTGGTGACTCCTGCCTGTAATCCCAGCTACTCAAGAGGCTGAGGCAGGAGAATTGCTTGAAGCTGCTAGGCGGAGGTTGCAGTGAGTGGAGACCTCACCACTGCACTCCAGTTTGGGTGACAGAGCAAGACTCCATCTCAAAAATAAAATAAAATAAAATAAAAGTGCATATAAAAGGTATGTTTATAACCATATTGTAGCCTATTAAACGTGCAATAGCATTATGTCTTAAAAATATGCATGCTTTAATTTAAATCTACTTTTTTCTTAATTATAGTTTAAGTTCTAGGGTACATGCGCACAACGTGCATGTTTGTTACATATGTATACATGTGCCATGTTGGTGTGCTGCACCCATGAACTCATCATTTACATTAGGTATATCTCCTAATGCTATCCCTCCCCCCTCCCCCTACCCCAATTTCAAATCTATTTTATTGCTAAAAAAGCTAATAGATTTTCTCCATGGGTGGGGTTACGACATTCCTGCAATTTGTAAACAACAACAACAAATAGTGTCTGACGGTGCCATAAAGCAAACTGCAATCAAATGAGGCATGCCTGTATAGACACACTTTGGCATCCATTCAATTCTTTATCTAACCAGAATATATATGTAATTTTCATTATTTATTTATTTTAATTTTTAATTTTTTTATTCTTTGATATTTTATTTTATTTTATTTTATTTTATTTTATTTTGAGACAGAGTCTCGCTCTGTCTCCCAGGCTGGAGTGCAATGACCCTATTTTGGCTCACTGCAAACTCCACCTCTGGGGTTCAAGTGATTCTCCAGCCTCAGCCTCCTGAGTAGCTGGGATTACAGGCATTCACCACCAGGCCTGGCTAACTTTGTATATTTAGTAGAGACGGGGTTTCGTCATGTTGGCCAGGCTAGTCTCGAACTCCTGGCCGAGGTGATCCGCTCGCTTCAGCCTCCCAAAGTGCTGGGATGACACGTGTGAGCCACCGTGCCTGGCCCAAATCTTTCAAGCCGGCTGTCAGCAGGCATCCGTGTCAGGTCCACCTGTCCGTCCAGCTCCAAGCTGATTGTCAGCCACTGCACAGGCTGAAAAAAATGGACTTTAATATCTGTGAAAACCTCGTTGGCTCAAAGGAAACTGTAGCAAATTCTTTTTTTTTATTTTTGTTTTTTAACTCAAAGAGTGGAGTTTGCATTGACCTTGTGATGGCACGCTGCTCTTTTGTTTTGGTGTAAATCCTCTAGTGGGCACTTTGCAAAAGCAATTTTAGAGCAAAGGTGGTGGCATGGAGTTGTGTGAGGTTGCTGAAAAGTAGCAAATGGAAGAAAGGTTAATGGAGCTGGATTTCTACAAAGGACGTCCTTTGAGGAGATCCACAGCAGCAACAATCACAGAGCAGCTTGCGTTTCCTATTCTGGGGACTTGGAGCACTTGATTGTAAGGAAGAAAGTGTGAGTGGGCACAAGGCTGGTGGTCACAATAAAAAGAACAACAGTAATAATATGATACTACCACTGCATGAGAGCAGTAATAACAACAACAGTAATACAATACCACCGCCGTGTGAGAGCAGTAATAACTACAACAGTAATACGATACCACCGCTGCATGAGAGCAGTCATAATCACAACAGTAATATGATACTACCGCCGCATGAGAGCAACAACAGTAATATGATACTACTGCCGCATGAGAGCAGTAATAACAACAGTAATATGATACTACCACTACATGAGAGCAGTCATAATCACAACAGTAACATGACACCACCGCCGCATCAGAGCAGTAATAACAACAACAGTAATATGATACTACCGCCGCATGAGAGCAGTAATAACAACACTAATATGATACTACCACTACATGAGAGCAGTCATAATCACAACAGTAACATGACACCACCGCCGCATGAGCAGTAATAACAACAACAGTAATATGATACTACCGCCGCATGAGAGCAGTAATCACAACAGTAATATGATACTACCGCTGCATGAGAGCAGTAATAACAGTAATATGATACTACCGCCGCATGAGAGCAGTAATAACAGTAATATGATACTACCGCCGCATGAGAGCAGTAATAACAACAGTAATATGATACTACCGCCGCATGAGAGCAGTCATAATCACAACAGTAATATGATACTACCGCCGCATGGGAGCAGTAATAACAACAACAGTAATATGATACTACCGCCGCATGAGAGCAGTAATAACAACAGTAATATGATACTACCGCTGCATGAGAGCAGTAATAACAGTAATATGATACTACCGCCGCATGAGAGCAGTAATAACAACAGTAATATGATACTACCACTACATGAGAGCAGTCATAATCACAACAGTAATATGATACTACCACTACATGAGAGCAGTCATAATCACAACAGTAATATGATACTACCACTACATGAGAGCAGTCATAATCACAACAGTAATATGATACTACCGCCGCATGGGAGCAGTAATCACAACAGTAATATGATACTACCGTTGCATGAGAGCAGTAATAACAACAACAGTAATATGATACTACCGCCACATGAGAGCAGTAATCACAACAGTAATATGATACTACCGCCGCATGAGAGCAGTCATAATCACAACAGTAATATGATACTACCGCCACATGAGAGCAGTAATAACAACAGTAATATGATACTACCACTACATGAGAGCAGTCATAATCACAACAGTAATATGATACTACCACTACATGAGAGCAGTCATAATCACAACAGTAATATGATACTACCACTACATGAGAGCAGTCATAATCACAACAGTAATATGATACTACCGCTGCATGAGAGCAGTAATAACAACAGTAATATGATACTACCGCCGCATGAGAGCAACAACAGTAATATGATACTACTGCCGCATGAGAGCAGTAATAACAACAGTAATATGATACTACCGCCGCATGAGAGCAGTAATAACAACAGTAATATGATACTACCACTACATGAGAGCAGTCATAATCACAACAGTAATATGATACTACCGCCGCATGAGAGCAGTAATCACAACAGTAATATGATACTACCGCTGCATGAGAGCAGTAATAACAGTAATATGATACTACCGCCACATGAGAGCAGTAATAACAGTAATATGATACTACCGCCGCATGAGAGCAGTAATAACAACAGTAATATGATACTACCGCCGCATGAGCAGTCATAATCACAACAGTAATATGATACTACCACTACATGAGAGCAGTCATAATCACAACAGTAATATGATACTACCGCTGCATGAGAGCAGTAATAACAACAGTAATATGATACTACCGCCGCATGAGAGCAGTAATAACAGTAATATGATACTACCGCCGCATGAGAGCAGTCATAACAGTAATATGATACTACCGCCGCATGAGAGCAGTAATAACAACAGTAATATGATACTACCGCTGCATGAGAGCAGTAATAACAACAGTAATATGATACTACCACTACATGAGAGCAGTCATAATCACAACAGTAATATGATACTACCGCCGCATGGGAGCAGTAATCACAACAGTAATATGATACTACCGTTGCATGAGAGCAGTAATAACAACAACAGTAATATGATACTACCGCCGCATGAGAGCAGTCATAATCACAACAGTAATATGATACTACCGCCGCATGAGAGCAGTCATAATCACAACAGTAATATGATACTACCGCCACATGAGAGCAGTAATAACAACAGTAATATGATACTACCACTACATGAGAGCAGTCATAATCACAACAGTAATATGATACTACCACTACATGAGAGCAGTCATAATCACAACAGTAATATGATACTACCACTACATGAGAGCAGTCATAATCACAACAGTAATATGATACTACCGCTGCATGAGAGCAGTAATAACAACAGTAATATGATACTACCGCCACATGAGAGCAGTAATAATCACAACAGTAATATGATACTACCGCCGCATGAGAGCAGTAATCACAACAGTAATATGATACTACCGCCACATGAGAGCAGTAATAACAGTAATATGATACTACCGCCACATGAGAGCAGTAATCACAACAGTAATATGATACTACCACTACATGAGAGCAGTCATAATCACAACAGTAATATGATACTACCGCTGCATGAGAGCAGTAATAACAACAGTAATATGATACTACCGCCACATGAGAGCAGTAATAATCACAACAGTAATATGATACTACCACTACATGAGAGCAGTCATAATCACAACAGTAATATGATACTACCGCCACATGAGAGCAGTAATAACAACAGTAATATGATACTACCGCCGCATGAGAGCAGTAATAACAACAGTAATATGATACTACCGCCACATGAGAGCAGTAATAACAGTAATATGATACTACCGCCACATGAGAGCAGTAATCACAACAGTAATATGATACTACCACTACATGAGAGCAGTCATAATCACAACAGTAATATGATACTACCGCCGCATGAGCAGTAATAACAGTAATATGATACTACCGCCGCATGAGAGCAGTAATAACAACAGTAATATGATACTACCACTACATGAGAGCAGTAATAATCACAACAGTAACATGACACCACCGCCACATGAGAGCAGTAATAACAACAGCAATATACTACCGCCGCATGAGAGCAGTAATAACAACAGTAGTATGATACTACCACTACATGAGAGCAGTCATAATCACAACAGTAATATGATACTACCGCCGCATGAGAGCAGTAATAACAGTAATATGATACTACCGCCGCATGAGAGCAGTAATAACAGTAATATGATACTACCGCCGCATGAGAGCAGTAATAACAAGAGTAATATGATACCACCACCGCATGAGAGCAGTAATAACAACAGTAATATGATACCACCGCCACATGAGAGCAGTAATAACAACAGTAATATGATACTACCACTACATGAGAGCAGTCATAATCACAACAGTAATATGATACTACCACTACATGAGAGCAGTCATAATCACAACAGTAATATGATACTACCGCCGCATGAGAGCAGTAATAACAGTAATATGATACTACCGCCACATGAGAGCAGTCATAATCACAACAGTAATATGATACTACCGCCGCATGAGAGCAGTAATCACAACAGTAATATGATACTACCGCCACATGAGAGCAGTCATAATCACAACAGTAATATGATACTACCACTACATGAGAGCAGTCATAATCACAACAGTAATATGATACTACCACTACATGAGAGCAGTAATAACAACAGTAATATGATACTACCGCCACATGAGAGCAGTCATAATCACAACAGTAATATGATACTACCGCTGCATGAGAGCAGTAATAACAAGAGTAATATGATACCACCGCCACATGAGAGCAGTAATAACAACAGTAATATGATACTACCACCGCAGGAGAGCAGTAGTAGGAGTAATAATAAAGTTAACAGCAGCAGCCCGGTCTGGTGGCTCACGCCTGTCATCCCAGCACTTTGGGAGTCCGAGGCAGGTGGATCACTTGAGATCAGGAGATAGAGACCATCCTGGCTAACATGGTGAAACCCCATCTCTACTAAAAATACAAAAAATTAGCTGGGCGTGGTGGCAGGTGCCTGTCATCCCAGCTACTCGGGAGACTGAGGCAGGAGAATCGCGTGAACCCGGGAGATGGAGCTTGCAGTGAGTCGAGATTGCGCCACTGCACTCCAGCCTGGGCGACAGAATGAGACTCCATCTCAAAAATAATAATAATAAAAAAAATAAAAACAAGAGTAATAATATTATACTACCACCGCATGAGAGCAGTAGTGAGAGTAAGAATAAAAGTAACAGCAGCAGCCGGGTGTGTTGGCTCACGCCTGTCATCCCAGCACTTTGGGAGTCCGAGGCGGGCAGATCAGTTAAGGTCAGGAGATGGAGACCAACCTGGCTAACATGGTGAAACCCTGTCTCTACTAAAAATACAAACAATTAACCAGGCGTGCTGGCAGACACCTGTAATCCCAGCTACTCGGGAGGCTGAGGCAGGAGAATCAGGTAAACCCAGGAGGCGGAGGTTGCAGTGAGCTGAGATCATCTCACTGCACTCCAGCCTGGGTGACCGAGTGAAATTCTGTCTCAAAAAAAGAAAGAAAGAAAGAAAGAAATGTAATCCCCAAAGTGGCAGTATTGGAAAATGGTTCTGTTAAGAGGTGACAGGGCCATGAGACCTTTGCCCTCATGAATGGATTACTCCACACATAGATTAATGAATTAATGGGTTAATAGATTAAGTGTTTATCATGCAAATGTACTGACCTAAGCCAAGATGTGGATATTATGGGGTTTCACCCATGCTGCCATAGCAAAGTCTCACAGACTAGGTGGCTTAACCAACAGACATTGATTCTCCCACAGTCCTGGAGGCTGCAAGTCTGAGATCCAGGTGTGGGCAGGGCTGGTTCCTCCTGAGGCCTCTCTCCTTGGCTTGGAGACACTGTCTTCTCCCTGCAGCCTCACAGGGTCATCCCTCTGTGTGTGTCTGTGTCCTCACCTCCTCTTCTTATGAGATGCCTTAGTCCATTTCAGGCTGCTAACACAGAATACCATAGACTGGGTGACTTATAAACAACAGACATTGATTCTCCCACAGTCCTGGAGGCTGGAAGTCTGAGATCCAGGTATGGGCAGGGCTGGTTCCTCCTGAGGCCTCTCTCCTGGGCTTGTAGACGCCGTCTTCTCCCTGTGCCCTCACAGGGTCATCCCTCTGTGTGTGTCTGTGTCCTCACCTCTTCTTCTTATGAGATGCCTTAGTCCATTTCAGGCTGCTAACACAGAATACCATAGACTGGGTGACTTATGAGCAACAGACATTGATTCTCCCACAGTCAAGACAGGGGAAGACCATGGAGAGGAGGGTCATGTATCTGTAACTCTTGAACATTTTATTCCAGGATCAAGTAAACGTGCCAATATTTGGGTTAGCTTTCTGCTTTTTCTCCGGCAAAACACGACAATTTACACTGCATTGAATTTAAGGATGGTTGCTTTCTCCTTGACATGCCAACAGAACAAACAGGGTCTCCGATTCTGAAATGACTCCAGATTTGGGAGACAAAGTTGTGTCAGCCAATTTCTACAGATGCTGTCTGTAGACTCTGCTTGTGCCTGCATTTGGCTTTACAGATTCAGGCTGTGTTTCTGGAGCCGCCTCGCACGTTCTCCTCTATTGAGATTATAAAATTATCAAAAGCTTGAAGGTAAATGCTCTCTGTTGACTCAACACGATTACAACTTTGTGTGTGTGTGTTTGCTGCAGTGCAGCGCACAAGTTTTATAGGACAACCTGAGCCTTCATTTCTTCAGTTTGACATTCTGAGTTTAAGACAAAGGGAATGATCACCCCGCCGTGTTCTTGGTAAAGGAAGAGTGTTAGAGCATCATGGCAGTATTCTTCCAGCCTCCAGGAAGAGAAGCTTTTAAAATGACAATTTCTGATTTGACATTTTCACTTGTAACACCCTAGAGGTATAGGCAGGTCTTGCATCTGCAAAAGGTTATTGCTGTGGAGAATTGGGAGCTGTGGTAAATGAAGTGTGACCGCCTTGCCCACAGTAAGGCAGGGAAGACAAGAGAATGTAAAAAATGTGAATACCTTGAGGAAGACAGTGTGCTAATTCCTCAAGGATCTAGAACCAGAAGTACCTTTTGACCCAGCAATCCCATTACTGGGTATATACCCAAAGGATTATAAGTCATTCTACTATAAAGACTCATGCACACTTATGTTTATTGTGGCACTGTTCACAATAGCAAAAACTTGGAACCAACCCAAATGCTCATCAGTGATAGTCTGGATAAAGAAAATGTAGCACATATACACCATGGAATACTCTGCAGCCATCAAAAGGAACAAAATCATGTCCTTTGCAGGGACAGGGATGAAGCTGGAAACCATCATCCTCAGCAAACTAACACAAGAACAGAAAACCAAACACTGCATGTTCTCACTCATAAGTGGGAGTTGAACAATGAGAACACATGGACACAGGGAGGGGAACATCACACACCAGAACCTGTCAGGGGAGGGGGGCTAGGGGAGGGATAGCATTAGGGGAAATACCTTATGTATATAATGGGTTGATGGGTGCAGCAAACCACCATGGCACATGTATACCTATGTAACAAAACTGCCCACGCTGCACATGTACCCCAGAACTTAAAGTATAATTTAAAAAAAAAAAGAAAAAAAATGTGCAATACTCACCAGATGATGTTCCAAGTTGTTTAGCTGCAATAGTGACTGGCTTAATGCATTAGTTTGCCCCCCTTTTTCCTTATTATTTTGTTATCCCAAAAAACCTTTCCTACAGGGGCTAAGAATATATGGGAAATTCCAATATACCATTTCTGGGGAAACCCAAGCAAATAACAGACAGGGGTTATGGCCACACCGTGCTTTCTGGATATTTGTACTATTACGAGTGGAAATGTGTCCTATGCCAAATTCATAGATTGACGTCCTAAATCTCAGTTCCTCAGACTGTGATCTTGTTTGGAAGTACATCATTGCAGATGTAATTAATTAGTTCTGTTAGGATGAGGTCAGGCTGGAGTCAAATGGGCCCCTAATCTAATATAAATGTTGTCTTCATCCATTTGAGCATCTATCACGAGATGTCATAAATTGGGTTGGTTTGAAATAACGGGAGTTTATCACTCACAGCTCTGTTGGCTAGAATTTCAAGATCAAAGGGTGGAAGATTCAGTGTGTGGGAACGGCTTCCTGGTTCACAGACGGTGCCTTCTCACTATGCCCTTACATGGTACCGCCTCCGCCAACAGGGAACAGATTTCAGCATGAGACCCAAACACCTCCACCCAGTCCCACCTCCATCACTGGGAACCAGATTTCAGCATGAGACCCAAACCCCTCACCCAGCCCCACCTCCATCACTGGGAACAAGATTTCAGCATGAGACCAAACACCCTCACACAGACTCACCTCCAACAATGGGGACCAGATTTCAGCACGAGACCAAACACCCTCACCGAGCCCCACCTCCAACACTAGGGACCAGATTTCAACATGAGAAACAAACACCTCCATCCAGCCTCACCACTAATACGGGGGACCAGATTTCAGCATGAGACCCAAACACCCTCACCCAGCCCCACCTCCCACACTGGGAACAAGATTCCAGCATGAGACCAAACACCCTCACACAGACTCACCTCCAACAATGGGGACCAGATTTCAGCAATAGACCCAAACACCCTCACCCAGCCCCACCTCCAAACTGGGGACCAGATTTCAGCATGAGACCCAAACACACTCACGCAGCCCCAACTCCAACACTGGGGACCAGATTTCAGCATGAGACACACACACCTCCACCCGGCCTCACCCCCAACACTGGAGACCAGATTTCAGCATGAGACCCAAACACCCTCATCCAGACCCACCTCCAACAATGGGGACCAGATTACAGCATGAGACCCAAACACTTCCACCCAGCCCCACCGCCAACACTGGGGACCAGATTTCAGCAGGAGACCCAAACACCCTCATCCAGACCCAACTCCAACATTGGTGACCAGATTTCAGCATCAGAACCAAACACCCTCACCCAGCCCCACCCCTAACACTGGGGACAAGATTTCAGCATGAGACCCAAACAACTCTATCCAGCCTCACCACCAACACTGGGGACCAGATTTCAGCATGACGCCTAAACACCCTCACACAGACCCACCTCCAACACTGGAGACAGATTTCAGCATGACATGCAAACATCTCGACCCAGCCCCACCTCCAACACTGGGAACCAGATTTCAGAATGAGACCCAAACACTTCCACCCAGCCCCACCTCCAACATTGGGGAGCAGATTTCAGAATGAGACCCAAACACCTCCACCTGGCCTCACCTCCAACTTCAGGGACCAGATTTCAGCATAAGACACAAACACCTCCACCCAGACCCACATCAAACACTGGGAACAAGATATCAGCATGAGACCCAAACACGTCCACCCAGCCCCACCTCCAACAATGGGGACCAGATTTAAGCATGAGGCGAAAACACCCTCACCCAGACCCACCTCCAACACTGGGGACCAGATTTCCGCATGGCACCCAAACACGCTCATCCAGACCCACCTCCAACATCGGTGAAAAGATTTCAGCATGAGACCCAAACACGCTCACCCAGCCCCACCCCTAACACTGGGAACAAGATATCAGCATGAGACCCAAACACCCTCACCCAGCCCCACCTCCAACAATGGGGACCAGATTTCAGCATGAGACCCAAACACCTCCACCTGGCCTCATCCCCAACACTGGGGACCAGATTTCAACATGAGACGCAAACACCTCCACCTGGCCTCACCTCCAACTTCAGGGACCAGATTACAGCATGAGACCCAAACACCTCCACCCAGACCTACCTACAACACTGGGAAACAGATTTCTGCCTGAGACCCAGACACCTCCATCCAGCTTCACCACCAGCACTGGGGACCAGATTTCAGCATGAGACCCAAACACCCTCAGCCAGCCCCACCTCCAACACTGCGGACGAGATTTCAGCATGAGACCCAAACATCCTCACCCAGCCCCACCCCTAACACTTGGGACCAGATTTCAGCATGAGACCCAAACACCCTCACCCAGCACCCCCTCCAACACTGGGGATGAGATTTCAGCATGAGACCCAAACACCCTCACAGAGCCCCACCCCTAACGCTGGGGACCAGTTTTCAGCATGAGACCCAAACACCTCCATCCAGCCTCACCACCAACACTGGGGACCAGATTTCAGCATGAGGCCCAAATACCCTCACCCAGACCCACCTCCAACACTGGGGACGAGATTTCAGCATGAGGCCCAAACACCCTCACGCAGACCCACCTCCAAAACTGGGGACCAGATTTCAGCATGAGACCCAAACACCTCCACCCAGCCTCAACACCAATACTGGAGACCAGATTTCAACATGAGACCCAAACACCTCCACCCGGCCTCAACACCAATACTGGAGACCAGATTTCAACATGAGACCCAAACACCTCCACCCAGCCTCACATCCAATACTGGAGACCAGATTTCAGCATGAAGCCCAAACACCCTCACCCAGCCCCATCTCCAATAATGGGTACCGGATTTCATCATGAGACCCAAACGCTTCAACCCAGCCCCAACTGCAACACTGGGGAACAGATTTCAGCATGAGACACAAACACCCTCCCCAAGACCCACCTCAAACACTGGGGACCAGATTTCAGCATGAGACCCAAACACCTTCACCCAGCACCACCCCTAACACTGGGGACCAGATTTCAGCATGAGACCCAAACACCTTCACCCAGCACCACCCCTAACACTGGGGGCCAGATTTCAGCATGAGACCCAAACACCCTCACCCAGCCCCACCTCCAACACTGGGGACAAGATTTCAGCATGAGACCCAAACACCCTCACCCAGCCCCACCCCTAACACTTGGGGACCAGATTTCAGCATGAGACCCAAACACCTCCATCCAGCCTCACCTCACCTGGGACCAGATTTCAGCATGAGACCCGAACACCTCCATCCAGCTTCACCACCAACACTGGGGACCAGATTTCAGCATGAGGCCCAAATACCCTCACCCAGACCCACCTCCAACACTGGGGACCGGATTTCAGCATGAGACCCAAACACCTCCATCCAGCCTCACCACCAACACTGGGGACCAGATTTTAGCATGAGACCCAAACACCCTCACCCAGCCCCACCCCTAACACTTGGGACCAGATTTCAGCATGAGACCCGAACACCCTCACCCAGCACCCCCTCCAACATTGGTGACCAGATTTCAGCATGAGACCCAAACACCCGCACCCAGCCCCACCCCTAACACTGGGGACCAGAATTCAGCATGAGACCCAAACACCTCCATCCAGACTCACCTCCAACTTTGGGGACCAGATTTCATCATGAGATCCAAACACCTCCATCCGACTGGCCTCACCTCCAACAGTTGGGGCCAGATTTCAGCATGAGACCCAAACACCTCCATCCGGCCGGCCTCACCTCCAACATTGGGGACCAGATTTCAGCGTGAGACCCAGACACCCTCACCCAGCACCCCCCCAACACTGGGGACCAGATTTCAGCATGAGAGCGAAACACCTCCATCCAGCCTCACCACCAATACTGGGGACCAGATTTCTGCATGAGACTCAAACACCTCCATGCAGCCGGCTTCACCTCCAACACTGGGGCGAGATTTCAGCATGATACCCAAACACTTCCACCTGGCCTCACCTCCAACACTGGGGCGAGATTTCAGCATGATACCCAAACACTTCCACCTGGCCTCACCTGTAACAGTGGAGACCAGATTTCAGCATGATTCCCAAACACCTCCACCTGGCCTCACCTCCAACATCAGGGATCAGATTTCAGCATGAGATTTGGAGAAGACAAACATGCCGACTATATCAGCCACCGCGCCTGGCCACAGATATTTAGTCCTTAGCAACTGGTGTCCTTATGAAAAGGGGGAAATGGGATGTGAATGGCGAGAAGCTATGGGAACTTTGCAGTGATGCTGCCCCAAGTCAAGGAAGTAACAGATGCCAGAAAAGGCAAGGAAGGATTCCTCCCTGGATCCCTCAGAGGAAACGCAGGTCTGCAGACACCTTAATCTCAGACGTCTGGACTCCAGAACTGGGTGAATCTACACTTCTGTTATTTAAGCCACTCTGTTTTCTGTATTTTGTTAGATCTGCTCCAGCAAACTAACATTTTATTCCTGTACCTGAACATTGAAAGTCAGCTATGAATGAGTCGGTTCCTGGTACACAGCTTTTTTTTTCTTTTCTTTTTCTTTTTTTTTCTTTCTTTTTCTTTTTTTTTACACAGTCTCAGCGTCTCACTCTGTCACCCAGGCTGGAGTGCAGCAGCGCGATCTCGACTCTCTGCAACCTCCGCCTCCTGGGTTCAAGCGATTCTCCTGCCTCAACCTCCCAAGTAGCTGGGATTACAGGTGCCCACCACCATGTCCAGCTAATTTTTTTTTTTGTATTTTTTTTAGTAGAGACAGGGTTTCACCATGTTGGCCAGGCTGGTCTCAAACTCTTGAACTCATGATCTGCCTGTCTCAGTCTCCCAAAGTGCTGAGATTAACAGGCATGAACCACTGCACCTGGACTGGAATGGACAGTGTTTTTCTTCCTTGCCAGAAAAGGCAAGGAAAGATTCCTCCCTGGAGCCCTCAGAGGAAACACAGGTCTACAGACACCTTAATCTCAGACGTCTGGACTCCAGAACTGGGTGAATCTACACTGCTGTTATTTAAACCATTCTGTTTTCTGTATTTTGTTAGATCTGCTCCAGCAAACTAACATTTTATTCCTGCACCTGAACATTGAAACTCAGCTATGAATGAGTAGGTTCATACTGGACAGCATTTGTTGTTGTTGTTTTTTGAGACAGAGTCTCACTGTTGCCTAGGCTGGAGTCCGGTAGTGAGATCTTGGCTCACTGCAACCTCCACCTTCCGGGTTCAAACGATTCTCCTGCCTCAGCCTCCCAAGTAGCTGGGACTACAGGTGCATGGAACCACGCCCAGCTAATTTTTTGCATTTTTAGTAGAAACAGGGTTTCACCATGTTGGCCAGGATGGTCTCAATCTCTTGACCTTGTGATCCGACCGCCTCAGCCTCCCAAAGTGCTGGGATGACAGGCGTGAGCCACCACACCCAGCCTGCAATGGACTGTGTTTTTCTAACGTCATCCTCATAGACTCAAAGGCATCTCTCGGCCTTCAGTCCACCTGGGTGGCTCATCACAACTTTACAACCCTGCTGTCCCATCTGGGTAGAATTCCACCTGCGTTCATTCCACCAGCACGATTTTATGACCCTGCTGTCCAAAAGTATATGTACGTTAGCTTGATTTAGCTGTTCCACAATGTGTATATATATATTGCAAAATAACATAGCGTGCCATGGTAAATAAATGCCATTTAAATCTGTCAATTTCAAAACGATAAAACTTTAAATATAATAGGGCAAATTTACCAACTGCAATAAACAAGCAAAACCTGAGGATTGGTTCACTGTAAACTGTAATAGGGTTCTTGACAGGGTAAAGGAACAGGCTGGGAGCTTCAGAGCAAGCAAAGTTCTTCAGACACTTTAAACTTTGATGTCTGGACTCCAGAACTGAGAGGGTCTACACTTCTGTTATTTCAGCCATTCAGTTTGCTGCATTTTTGTTAGATCTGTCCCAGCAAACTAACATGCATTGATCAAAAGTATTCAGGTATTTCATTCCTGCACCTGAAAATTGAAACTCAACCATGAAAGAGTCGGTTCCTGGTGGACAGCGTTTTCCTTTCTTTCTTTTTTTTTTTTTTTTTTTTGAGACAGAGTCTCACTGTGTCGCCCAGGCTGGAGTGCAGTGGTGTGACCTCGGCTCACTGCAACCTCCATCTCCCGGGTTCAAGCGATTCTCCTGCCTCAGCCTCCCACATAGCTGGGACTACAGGCACCTGCCACCATGCCCTGCTAATTTTTTTGGTATTTTTTTTTTTAGTAGAGACGGGGTTGCGCTATGTTGGCCAGGCTGGTTTCGATCTCTTGACCTCGTGATCCACCCATCTCAGCCTCCCAAAGTGCTGGGATTACAGGCGTGAGCCACCACGCCCGGCCTGCAATGGACTACGTTTTTCTAACGTCATCCTCATAGACTCAAAGGCATCTCTCGGCCTTCAGTCCACCTGGGTGGCTCATCGCAATTTTACAACCCTGCTGTCCAAAAGCGTATGTACAATAGTTTCATTTAGCTTTTCCACAATGTGTGTAGATGTTACAAAAGCACATAGTGTGCATGATAAATAAATGCAATTTAAATGTACTAATGTTAAAAGTAAAAATGTTTAAAATAATAGGGCAAATTTATCATTCCAATTTTAGTATACGTGCTGCCAAAGTGAGCATGGCAAAGTTATCAACTGCAACAAACAAACCAAATGCAAATTGTAATAGTGTCCTTGAGACAGGAAAAACGGACCCTTGGCCCTTCACTGGGAATGCAGTTCTGTGGACACCTTAATCTCAGACGTCTAGAGTGCCCTAGAACAGTGAGTCTAAATTTGTGTTGTTTAAGCCACTCTGTGGTATTTTGTTAGATTTGCCCTAGCAAACGAATATGCATGGAACAAAAACAAAGCTCATCCCAGCACTTTGGGAGGCTGAGTCGGGTGGGTCACGTGAGGTCAGGAGTTCGAGACCAGCCTGGGCAACATGGTGAAACCCCATCTCTACTAAAACAACAACAACAACAAAAAAGTTAGCTGGGCGTGGTGGCACGTGCCTGTAATTCCAGCCACTCGGGAGGCTGAGGCAGGAGAATCGCTTGAACCTGGCAGGTGGAGTTTGCCGTGAGCCAAGATTGTGCCATTGCACTCCTGCTTGGGGGACAGAGGAAGACCCTGTCTCAAAAATAAAATAAAATAAAATATAAAATAAAATAAAATAAAATAAAATAAAATAAAATAAAATAAATAAAAAATAAAGCTTATGAGACACTGAAATGGTCTGAATTCAGCAAACTTCCTTGGAATAACATCTTGTACTAGTCCATTTTCATACTGCTATAAAGAAACACCTGAGACTGGGTAATTTATGAAGGAGAGAGGTTTAATGTACCCATAGTTCCACATGGCTGGGGAGACCTCACAATCATGGCAGAAAGTGAAGGAGGAGCAAAGCCACACCTTACATGGCGGCCTTACATGGCGGCAGGCAAGAGAGAGTGTACAGGGAAACTCCCCTTTATCAATCCATCAGATCGGCCAGGGCCAGTGGCTCAAGCCTGTAATCTCAGCACTTTGGGAGGCCAAGGCCGGCGGATCACCTGAGGTCAGGAGTTCGAGACAAGCCTGGCCAACATGGTGAAACCCTGTCTCTACTAAAAATACAAAAGTTAGCCAGGCATGGTGGCGGGCACCTGTAATCCCAACTACTTGGGAGGCTGAGGCAGGAGAATCGCTTAAACCTGGGAGGTGGAGGGGCCAGGCGTGGTGCCTCATACCTGTAATCCCAGCACTTTGGGAGGCCAAGGCAGGCGGATTCACGAGGTTAGGAGTTTGAGGCCAGTTTGACCAACATGGTGAAGCCCTGTCTCTACTAAAAATACAAAAATTAGCCAGGCGTGGTGGTGCACACCTGTAATCCCAGCTACCCTGGAGGCAGGAGGAGGCAGGAGAATTGCTTGAACCTGGAAGGCGGAGGTTGCAGTGAGCTGAGATCATACCACTGCACTGCAGTCTGGGCGACAAAGTAAGAGTGTGTTTCAAAAAAAAAAAAAAAGTGAAAAAGCAATGGACTGTGAATGACATTCATATCTTAAATTCCCACACACATCGTGAAACTGGCTGCTTTCAGCTTTACGGAAAACCCAGGGAGGATGATTTCAATGTTTAGCAAATACTGGATCAATATTGAAAACAGGGTCTACTATTTTTCCACTCACACGAGACAGTGGGTGAGACCCAGCCATTCTCCATAAGTTGGAGGCATCTGCTCTTGTTTAAACTCATATCCAAACATGGAAATATGAACTTACTTGGAAAAATGATCTTTTGGAATAAAGATTATTATTATTTTTTTTTGAGACAGAGTTTCTCTCTTGTTGCCCAGGCTGGAGTGCAGTGGCATGATCTCAGCTCACTGCAACCTCCCCTTCCGGGTTCAAGCAATTCTCCTGCCTCAGCGTCCTGAGAAGCTGGCACTACAGGCACCCGCCACCATGCCCAGCTAATTTTGTATTTTTAGTAGAGACAGGGTTTTGCCATGTTGGCCAGGCTGGTCTTGAACTCCCGACCTCAGATGATCTGCTTGCCTCGGCCTCCTTAAGTGCTAGGATTACAGGCGTGAGCCACCGCGCCCAGCTTGGAATAAAGATTATTTACACGTGTAAACATTCAGAATTTTTATGTAATCTTTACTAATTAGATAAGTGAACTTACTTGGGTTCCACCACACAGTAGCAGAAAAGTAGCAGAAAAGGCTCGCTTAATTGGCTAGCCCATGGACTTGGGTCCCATTCAGATTTCCAGGTGGGAGTGGGTGTGTGGTGCCCGCCAGGTCTAGGGTGGGTGGAATAACACAGGACTGCTTTGAAAGGTCTTCAGAGAACCTATTGTTAGTTCATTCATACTTCCCAGCTCATAATGATAAATTAATTTGCTTCAATGAGGCTGAAACGACGATATCCATGTTATCTGACGGGGTCACCATATTGAAAGTCATGCACGGGCCAGGCGAAGTGGCTCACACCTGTCATCCCAGCACTTTGGGAGGCTGAAGCGGGCAGATCACCTGAGGTCAGGAGTTCGAGACCAGCCTGGTCACCATGGAGAAACCCCATCTCTACTAAAAATACAAAAAGACCAGGTGTGGTGGCTCACGCTTGTCATCCCAGCACTTTGGGAGGCTGAAGCAGGTGGATCACCTGAGGTCATGAGTTCGAGACCGGCCTGGCCAACATGCAGAAACCCCGTCTCTACTAAAAATACAAAAAGGCCAGGTGTGGTGGCTCACGCCTGTCATCTCAGCACTTTGGGAGGCTAAAGCAGGCAGATCACCTGAGGTCAGGAGTTCAAGAACAGCCTGGCCACCATGGAGAAGCCCCATTTCTACTAAAAATACAAAAAGACCAGGTGTGGTGGCTCACGCCTGTTCTCTCAGCACTTTGGGAAGTCAAGGCAGGCAGACCACTTGAGGTCAGAAGTTCGAGACCATCCTGGCCAACATGGTGAAAGCCTGTCTCTGCTAAAAACACAAAAATTAGCCGGGCATGGTGGTGGGTACCTGTAGTCCCAGCTACTCGGGAGGCTGAGGCAGGAGAATGACTGGAACCTGGGAGGCGGAGGTGGCGGTGAGCCAAGATCATGCCACTGCACTGCAGCCCGGGCAACAGAGCGAGACTCCGTCTCCAAAAAAATTAAAAAGTCATACATGGTACTTAGATGGAGCTGGAGTAAGGTCACGTAACAGAACCACCTCGTTGTGACCCTTTGCAGTTCAAGTTGGTGAAAGAGCCGGCTCTGGGACTCAAAGAGGTGGCTGGGAGACAGGGAGTGAGGGATTAGGTGAGCTGATGTCTGGTCATACCCAAGGACTAGGAGGAAGACAGCGGAACGGTGGCAGCTCTCGTCTCCAATATAATTTTCTTTCTTTGTTGCTTTCTTTTTGAGACAGAGTCTTGCTCTGTCACCCAGGCTGGAGTGCAGTGGCACAATCTCGGCTCACTGCAAGCTCTGCCTCCCAGGTTCAAGGAATTCTCCTGCCTCAGCCTCCCGAGTAGCTGGGACTACAGGTGTCCACCAACACTCCCAGCTCATTTTCATATTTTAGTAGAGACAGGGTTTCACCATGTGGGCCAGGCTGGTCTTCAACTCCTGAGCTCAAGTGATCCACCCACCTCGGCCTCCCTAAGTGCTGGGATGACAGGCAGGAGCCACTGGGCACGGCCTCCAATATAATTTTCTTACACTTGACCTTTGCCATGGCCTCCATGGATAGAATCCAGGCTGCAACCTGGCCAGGAGGCTCTAAATGCATTCCCAAAGCCAGGGAAGTCAGAGAAACTCAAGGCAGCACGGGCCATCTTGGCCACGTCGTCCGTTGGAGAAGGTTTTGGGCTGTAACATGTTGGAATAAATTTTAGAAAGTGCCTTCAAGAATGTTGCTGAGCTGTGTTGAACGCTGATGGAAAGTTATGCATTGTCACGTATGGGGTTCTCCAAAAGTGACAGCTCTCCGAGGAGTTGGCTTCTGTGTCCTCCAATTTAATTTTAAATTGCCCTCAGGGAGGTGCTGGGAACCTCTTTCCCTGGAGGCTGTGAGCGATGGGAGAGAAGCCATCTGTCTGCCTCGCTTGGGTGCTAGTAACACAATGCAGCTCATCTTCCAGCTTCCAAAGCAGGATGATATACGCGTCATTCCTCACGATGTACACACCGAAGGCAAGAAAAAGAAATCCACCAAAAGACCCACTTTTACATCTTCTTATGCTTTCAAACTCAGGCATGAAGTGTCTTCACATACAGAATGGTTGTGATTCTTTTTTAATTACAACCATTTCTGTGAGAGCCTGCACAGCACAGATAAAGCCACCAGAGAGAAACATTCATGAAAATGAAACGTCGTGTTTGGAAATAATAATGGAAGAAATCAGTATGTACGTTGCCGGCTCAGGGGAGATTTACCTTGTTAATTCGACATGAAGGCCGTGAGGCAGAAATGCATTCTTAATTTAACTGTACTGTGTTTACAGATTTATGAAGATTATAGTAGTAAATGCAAATAGGCATTGGCATGAATATGGAAAGGAGGATGTAAAATGTGATTAAAAATTACAAATGGAGAAGAAAAGGAAACAATAATCATGAAGGAAGGAAAGAAAGAAAGAAAAAAGAAAGAAGGAAGGAAGGAAAAGGAAGGAAGGAAGGGAAGGGAAGGAAGGGAAAGGAAAGGAAGGGAAGAAAGAAAGAAAGAAAGAAAGAAAGAAAGAAAGAAAGAAAGAAAGAAAGAAAGAAAGAAAGAGGAAGGAAGGAAGGGAAGGGAAAGGAAAGGAAAGGAAGGGAAGAAAGAAAGAAAGAGAAAGAGAGAAAGAAAGAAAAAGAAAGAAAAGAAGGAAGGAAAGAAAGAAAGAAAAGAAGGAAGGAAAGAAAGAGAGAAAGAGAGATGGACGGAAGGGAAGGAAAGGGAAGGGAAGGAAAGGGAGAGAGAGAGAAAAAAAAAGAAAGAAAGGAAGGAAGGAAGGGGAAAGGAAAGGAAAAGAGAAAAAGAAAAGAAAGAAATAGGAGAAATACAAGGATATAGGATTGGGAAGATCCAACATAGGAGAGAGGCAGACGAAATTCCAAAGATCATCATAAAAAACATCTCAGGAAAAGAGATCTGAACAGCAATCCATTCACAATGCAGTAGGAGAGTACAAGACATTAATCAATCCATGAAACTGATTGATTTTCAGAAACTCTACAAACAGGCACTATTTCTTCTGCGAATCCACTGCCAGGTTGATTAATCCGCTGGTTTCTCACTCTCCCTTCATGTTGGTAACACCCAAATCCACGATACCTCCCAATTGAGGAAGCATGGATTGCATCAGCCTGGTTTTTAGCAGAAAATGGCTAGCTTGCTCATTTAGGATTTTTAAAAGCCTGCACAGATAAACGGAAAGGGTTAAGAAAATTCCCAGTGGCTGCGGATCCTCCCAGAGCTTACTAACATAGCAGAGAAGTTTCATCACCCCTGAGCTTCCAGGTCAAAAGACAATGAGGTCAAGATACTGTTAAGGCTCATTCAACAGCAAGGGTCTCTGCAGCAGACAGGCTGCCCAACAAAAGACGTAGTTGATGAAGGACACAGATAAATCCATATATGTCCAAACATGGAATGACCCAGAGAATAAACATCCAACACTCTTTTTCCTTCCCCGCCTTCCATTACTTGTTAGAGTCTTTTTTTTTTTTTTTTTTTTTTGAGATGGAGTCTCCCTCCATCACCCAGGCTGGAGTGCAGTGGTACAATCTCAGCTCACTGACACCTCCGCCTCCCGGATTCAAGAAATTCTCCTGCCTCAGCCTCCCCAGTAGCTGGGACTATAGGTGCCCGCCACCACCCCCAGCTAATTTTTTTGTACTTTTTAGTAGAGACGGAGTTTCACCATATTGGCCAGGCTGGTCTCGAACTCCTGACCTCAAATGATCCGCCCGCCTCGGCCTCCCAAAGTGCTGGGATGGCAGGTGTGAGCCACCACACCCGGCCTGGTCAGTGTCTCTCCTTCCCTGAATTCACATAGAAAAGCTCCAGAAACCTTGGGTGATGAAATCCAAAGTCATCAGCCTCTTGGAGATGTAAATTTGATCAAACGGAGGGAAATGTAGTGTGTCTGGTATACGTATCAAGTGCTGAGGGTCGGTCATCTGAAGTCCGCTCTTACCAGGCTAAAAGTTAGGTGTGGGAGAGTCTATTAGTTCTTCACAATTCTTCTTCCTCTCTAACTGGTCTCTGGCTCATGCCCCACGGGAGAAGCACGCCTCCTGCCCCCACTAACTTTGGACTGCCATCTGATTTGTTTTTGCTTATAGAATGTTGGTCAGTGCTGTTGCGGTAAACTGAGGAACGGAGAGACCAATACGGAGTACAGGAGGATTTGTTTATTTTTAGGTACACACTGGCTCAGCAGAATCGCGTTTAAAAAGCTCAGCATTGAACAAAGACGGAGCGGGGGTTTCATAAGCGGCCTTATAACATAACTCGTGACCTTGCATAGCTGGTGGCCTTGTAGCTGCATTGAAAGAAAAACAAGAACTGGCTAAATACAGACATTTGTAAAACATAGTCATGCTTAAGAAGCCTGGGAAAAGAGTAACAGTAAAATAATCTGTCTTTCTCTTTTTTCCTTCAACCTTGCTCTGGAAGGCGGGTGGGGTGTCTGGAGCCCATTCCTTTGGCCTTGGCTACTGTGACAGTGTTACTTTATAACTATCCTTGAAGTGAGCTGGTAGGCAGAGGAAAACTTGTTCTTTTCTCTCTTTTTTTTTTTTTAACCCTTGCCTTGCCACATTCTGGGCCTTAGCTTTGACTTTTCTTGGAGTGAATAAATGCAGGACTTATTATTTTTTAAATTTCTGCCTCAGTGGAGGCACAACAGGGGTTGACACAGTGTGTTATGTCCGTTCTCATGCTACTAATAAAGACATATCTGAGACTGCGTAATTTATTAAAAAAAAAAAAAAAAGAGGTTTAATGGACTCACAGTTCCACGTGGCTGGGGAGACCTTACAATCATGGCTGAAGGTGAAGGAGGAGCAGAGGCATGTCTTACATGGTGGCAAGCAAGAAAGCTTACGCAGGGGAACTCTCCATGATGTCTCCCAATTAAGGAGACATTGATTGCTTCAGTCTGGTTTTTGGCAGAAGACCACCAGATCTCATGAAACTTATTCACTATCACGAGAACAGCATGGGGAAAACCAGCCTGCGTGATTCAATTACCTCCCACCAGGTTCCTTCCATGGCATGTGGGCATTATGGGAGCTACAGTTCAAGATGAGATTTGGGTGGGGACACAGCCAAACCCTGTCACATGGTTGGACCTTTCCTCTGCACGTCTGTATTCCAACATTAGAAAAATGTGCCCAGGATAACCACTGGTTCCTCCCATGGCATGTGGGCATTATGGGAGCTACAGTTCAAGATGAGATTTGGGTGGGGACACAGCCAAACCCTATCACATGGTTGGACTTTTCCTCTGCACGTCTGTATTTGAACATTAGAGAAATGTGCCCAGGATAACCACTGGTTCCACCCATGGCATGTGGGCATTATGGGAGCTACAGTTCAAGATGAGATTTGGGTGGGGACACAGCCAAACCCTGTCACATGGTTGGACCTTTCCTCTGCACGTCTGTATTCCAACATTAGAAAAATGTGCCCAGGATAACCACTGGTTCCTCCCATGGCATGTGGGCATTATGGGAGCTACAGTTCAAGATGAGATTTGGGTGGGGACACAGCCAAACCCTATCACATGGTTGGACCTTTCCTCTGCACGTCTGTATTTGAACATTAGAGAAATGTGCCCAGGATAATCACTGGTTCCACCCATGGCATGTGGGCATTATGGGAGCTACAGTTCAAGATGAGATTTGGGTGGGAACACAGCCAAACCCTATCACATGGTTGGACCTTTCCTCTGCGCGTCTGTATTCCAACATTAGAAAAATGTGCCCAGGATAATCACTGGTTCCTCCCATGGCATGTGGGCATTATGGGAGCTACAGTTCAAGATGAGATTTGGGTGGGGACACAGCCAAACCCTATGGTCCCAAAATGATGACAGTATGTGGCATAGACATGAATCCAACCTTCAGCTTAGCCTGGGGTAACCCAGCCTATATCTGCACCAACCTAGCTGACTGGTAGACTCACATATTTAAAAAAGAAATAAATACTTATTATGGTAGAGAATTGAGATTTAGGACTATTTGTTATCCAGCATAACTTCAGGTGTAGCTGACTGATACAGAAAGCAGGCATCTTCTAGGGTGGGAAAAGGCTCTTAGCACAAAACTTCTCTAAGAAAAGATTTCACAACCAATTGTTTGCATGTTTTCATAGTTTTTAAATGTGGAGCAAAGGTAAAGAGTTAGGGAATGGTTTCATATTTTTTTCTTCTTGTTTGTAAATGTATGTATGATGATGTGTATCTCACCTTGAAATTTCAAACATGTTTTATCTTGGTGTCTATTGGAGACTGCATTTTAACATTCTCTTTCAAAAGGTATTTGTATGGGGGAGAAATGGGTGTGTGTATATGTGCAAGATATTTGAAGACCCCAAATCATCCCTTACCCCTCCTCTCTTCAGAGGTAATTACTACCCTGAAGGGGAAATGTATTCTTCACATTCATCCTTGGGTTTTTTTTTAATCTTTATGTTTGTACTTATCTGTAACACTATAATCTAAAATATATTTCACAAGGAATATACAGAGATGGCAAATTTTTCTTTTATATATTGACTTGATGTCACAGGTAATAATTCAAAATCCTTTTGCCTCTCTTGAAACTGTCGCTGTGATTTCAACTTTCCAAGTGCCTCTTTGATAAATTGTGTTTTTATCTGCTGGAAGAAAAAATAGACTAAATTTACCATAACATCCATTTTCATGTGGCAAATTTGAGGTATTTATTTCTCCTTAACTGATGACAATTTTCTGACTCCAGATGAAGTTCTTTCCCCAAACGATGTTTTCGTGTTTTTTTTTCCCTACAAAAGCCAAATTTCCACTAATTTAAAACCAAACAAGTGTCTTGATTTAGATGCTGACATAATCAAAGCTATGCACACAGCTCTCTGTTTTCCACTTTCTGGATATTTGGATGAAGAAATGAAATGTGTCAGAAATAAATCCTTTGGGGTAAATTTGTAATTAAGCTCTGAAGAAATGCTTTTGTACATCAGATTTAAATCTCCACGCCTCTAAAAAATCCAATTCGATGCACATTTGGAAACATTCGTCTTGTAAATGCAGAGGTCTCTGTTTCTGAGATCCGTCTACAAGAGCGCAGAAACTTAACAGCTGTAGCAATATTGCTGCCAAGCAGGTGGGGGCAATAAAGATAACAAAGCTAGTGGGGTCTCTGTAGGATGGACATTGCCTGTGAAATGCATCCTCCTCTTCTGAACAGATCTCTGATTTGTTCATCTTTTCTCTGTCTCTCCTTTTTTTTTTTTTTTTTTTTTGTTGTTGTTGTTGTTTTTTGAGACGGGGTTTTGTTCTTGTTGCCCAAGCCGGAGTGCAGTGGCGCAATCTCAGCTCACTGTAGCCTCCGCCTCCCAGGTTCAAGCGATTCTCCTGCCTCAGCCTCCCAAGTAGCTGGGATTACAGGCACGCGCCACCACACCTGGCTAAACATTTTTTGTATTTTTAGTAGAGACAGCGTTTCACCATGTTGGCCAGGCTGGTCTTGAACTCCTGACCTCAGGAGCTCCACCTGTCTCAGCCTCCCAAAGTGCTGGGATTACTGGCATGAGCCGCTGCGCCCAGCCTCCTCCTTTCTGAGTCTGTGCCGCAAGGAGGCTGCTTCTACCTGCCCTCCAGGGCTGATCCTTCAGCAATGATTGATTTAGAAAAGCACATGCAACTGAACCCTGTCCAATAATATGGGAGAGACCTTCTCCTGTGGGTACAGCTTTGGGGGAAAGTTTTCTCCTTCCTAAGAAGACTAAAAGATGGATTCTGTTTTTTCTCTCCACGTCGTGGCATGTGGATAAGTTGACTGTGAGATTCTGGCTTACCCAATCTGATTTCCTAACACAGGGATTCCTGGAGACGATCAACTTTGGACATTCTCTGGTTTGGATATAGTTTGTCTGGTCCCACCAAGTCTCATGTGGAAATCTGATCTCCAGTGTTGAAGGCGGGGCCTGGCGGGAGGTGTTTGGGTCATGGGGTTAAATCCCTCATGAATGGCATGGTGCCATTCTCAAGACAGTGAGTGGGTTCTTACTTAATTTATTTTATTTTTATTTTTTATTACACTTTAAGTTCTGGGGATACATGTGCAGAACGTGCAGGTTTGTTACATAGGTATGCATGTGCCATGGTGGTTTGCTGCACCCATCAACCCATCATCTACATTAGGTATTTCTCCTAATGCTCCCCCTCCCCTAGCCCCTCACCCCCTGACAGGCCCCCAGTGTGTGATGTTCCCCTCCCTGTGTCCATGTGTTCTCATTGTTCAACTCCCACTTATGAGTGAGAATGTGCGGTGTTTGGTTTTCTGTTCCTGTGTTAGTTTACTGAGAATGATGGTTTGCAGCTTCATCTATGTCTCTGCAAAGGACATGGCCTCATCCTTTTTTATGGCTGCATAGCATTCCATTGTGTCTATGTGCCACGTTTTCTTTATCCGGTCTATCATTGATGGGCATTTCTTACTTTTAGTTCCCAGAAGAGCTGGCTTTTGAAAACAGCCCGGCACCTCAGCTGTGTCTCTTGTGCTGTGTGTTCTCTGTACACGCCAGCTCTCTGTCCCCTTCCACCAGGAGTGGAAGTTTCCTGAGGTTTTCATCAGAAGCAGATGTGGGCGCCATGCTTCCTGTGTACCCTGTAGAACTGGGAGCCAAATAAACCTTTATTTCATTGATTGAATGATTGATTGATTGATTCATTCATTCATTCATTCAGATGAAGTTTCGCTCTCGTTGCCCAGGCTGGAGTGCAGTGGCATGATGTCAGCTCACTGCAACCTCCTTCTCCCAGGTTCAAGCAATTCTCCTGCCTCAGCCTCCCAAGTAGCTGGGATTACAGGCACCTGCCACCATGCCCAGCTTTTTTTTTTTTTTTTTTTTCTGTATTTTTAGTAGAGATGGGGTTTCACCATGTTGGCCAGGCTGGTCTAGAACTCCCGACCTCAAGCGATCCACCCGTGTCAGCCTCCCAAAGTGCTGGGATGACAGGTGTGAGCCACTGCTCCCAGCCTTCTTTTCTTTGTAAATTACCCAGCTTGAGGTACTTATCTATAGCCCTGCAAACAGAGAGAGACACGGAGGATAGTCTAGGGGGTTGTTTCAGACATACCCGGGACTCATTCAAGGTTCGCTGTTGAGAAAGCAATGAGATTTGCAGAGGTAGAGCCAGCTGGGCAGAGATACTTGTGTGAGAGTCATTGGTGGATCGTGCTGTGAGTGAAGACAAAATTGCGTCCAGCAGCACACGGCAAGGAAGGTCTAGGACTCACCTTAAGGAAATTAAGATGGTGGCTCACGCCTGTCATCCCAGCACTTTGGTAGGCCGAGGCGGGTGGATCACGAGATCAAGAGATCGAGACTACCCTGGCCAACATGGAGAAACCCCACCTCTAGTAAAAATACAAAAATTAGCCGGACATGGTGGTACATGCCTGTAGTCCCAGCTATGTGGGAGGCTGAGGCAGGAGAATCACCTGAACCCAGGAGGCAGAGGTTGCCGTGAGCCTAGATCATGCCATTGCACTCCAGCCTGGTGACAGAGAAAGTCTCCGTCTCAAAAAAAAAAAAAAAAAAAGATGGTTAAAAGTCAGACGGAGGAGACTGAATCCTCAAGAAAGAAGAATAAGGAGTGAGCAAAGAAAGAGTGATGGGGCCAGACACAGCGGCTCACACCTGTAATCCCAGCACTTTGGGAACCTGAGGTGGGTGGATCACCTGAGGTCAGGAGTTCAAGACCAGCCTGACCAATATGATGAAACCCTGTCTCTACTAAAAATTCAAAAATTAGCCAGGCATGGCGGCGGGCACCTGTAAGCTCAGCTACTTGGGAAGCTGAGGCAAGAGAATCACTTCAACCCAGGAGGCGGAGGTTGTTGCCGTGAGCCAAGATCACACCACTGCACTCCAGTCTGGGCGACAGAGAGAGACTCCGTCTCAAAAAAAGAAAAGAAAAGAAAAGAAAAAGAGTGATGGAAAACTAGGAGAGACAGTGCACCAAGAAGAAAGTCATGAGTCCTCCCAGATTCCGCTGACCAGTCCATCCCAAGATGGCAGGAAAGGCAGCAAAATATTCACAGAGGCAGGGCCAGGGTAGGTTTAGTGGACAGAGAAAAGGGCATGCATTTCCTATGCTGTACCAAAGTGCTGGGATTACAGGTGTGAGCCACCGCACCCAGCCTGCAAAAAATTTTTAGAATTTAGCTGGACATGGTGGTGCATGCCTGTAGTCTCAGCTACTCAGGAGGCTGAGGCAGGAGGATTGTTTGAGCTTATGAAGTAGAGGCCCTGATCATGCTACTCCACTCCAGCCTTGGCTACATACAGAGCAAGACACCATCTCTTAAAAAATTAATAGTGCTGGTCATCCCAGCACTTTGCGAGGCCAAGGCTGGCGGATCACTTGAGGTCAGGAGTTCAAGACCAGCCTGGGCGACATGGTGAAACCCCGTCTCTACTAAAAATGCCAAAAATTAGCCGGGTGTGGTGGCGCATGCTTATAATCCCAGTTACTTGGGAGGCTGAGGCAGAAGAACTGCTTGAACCCAGGAGGCGGAGGTTGCAGTGAGCCAAGATCGCGCTACTTCACTCCAGCCTGGGAGACAAAGTGAGGCTATGTCTTTAAAAAAACAAAAAAAAATTTGGAGAAGATACAAAATGCAAAGGCCTGGGAACTGTGTTTGAGATGGAAAGTCAAAACTTGGAAAATGATTATACTGGGTTGAGCAAGGTCCTCCTATGAAATCCACATTCACGCAGAATCTTGAATGTAGAGCTTATCAAAAAGTAGGGTCATTGCAAAGGTACTTGGTTAAGAGGAGGTCATGCTGGATTCAGGAGGGCCCTAATGCAAGGGCTGGTGCCTTATAAGAGGGGGAAAAGTTGGATACAAAGAGGAGAAGGCCACTTGCAGAGGGAGGCAGAGACTGGAGTGATGTAACCGCAGACTAACTCAGGGATACTTGGAGCCCCCAGGAGCTGGGAGAGGCAGGAAGGATTTAGTTTAGCTTGATTTAGTTATTCCACAATGTGTATTTGTATCAAAACATCATGTTGCATGCCATAAATAGATGCAATTCTTATTTGTATTATTAACACAAAGTGCATTATTTTAAAATTTTAAGAGATTACACTGCATTATTTAAAACAATGAGAACAGGCCAGGCATGGTGGCTCAAGCCTGTCATCCCAGCACTTTGGGAGGCCGAGGCGGGCGGATCACCTGAGGTCAGGAGTTCGAGACTAGCCTGGCCAATATGGCGAAACCTCATCTCCACTAAAAATACAAACATTAGCCAGGCGTGGTGGTGCACTCTTGCAGTCTCAGCTACTCGAGAGGCTGAGGCAGGAGAATCGCTTGAACCCAGGGGGAGGAGGTTGCAGTGAGTCGAGATTGCACCACTGCACTCCAGCCTGGGCAATAAGAATGAAATTCTGTCTCTAAATAAATAAATATCAATAAAAATAAAACAATGAAAACATCAAAAAATTGAAATTGATTTTTAAATTGGCAGCTGTAAAATATGCAGCCCAAGCTTTGTTACTGGCCTCATTCTTTTATTTCCTACTTTTTTTTTTTTTTTACTTCAAAATTGGATCCAATAATAACAAGCATTCTCTGAGGCTTTTCTGTGAGAAAGAACAATGAAGGTAACGTCTAAACACAAATTAAAACCTCATACCAAGGAACTGCTTTTTAAATATGTAATTTTATTTGTTTATTTATTTTTTTTTGAAACAGAGTCTCGCTCTGTCACCCAGGCTGGAGTGCAGTGACGCAATCTTGGCTCACTGCAACCTCTGCCTCCCAGGTTCAAGCGATTCTCCTGCCTCAGCCTCCCGAGTAGCTGGGATTACAGGCGCCCGCCACAATGCCCGGCTAATTTTTGTATTTTTACTAGAAATGGGGTTTTGCCAGGTTGGCCAGGCTGGTCTTGAACTCCTGACCTCAGGTGATCCACTCGCCTCGGCCTTCCAAAGTGCTGGAATTACAGGCGTGAGCCACTGTGCTTGGTCTTAATAAGTGGTTTTAAATTTAAGTCATAAGAAAGGAAAGGACTTTGGGAGGCTGAGGCGGGCGGATCACGAGATCAGGAGATCAAGACCATGCTGGCTAACACGGTGAAACCCCGTCTCTAGTAAAAATACAAAAAAAAAGTTAGCCGGGCGTGGTGGCGGGCGCCTGTAGTCTCAGCTACTCAGGAGGCTGAGGCAGGAGAATCGCTTGAACCTGGGAGGTGGAGGTTGCAGTGAGCAGAGATCGCGCCACTGCACTCCAGCCTGGGCGACAGAGCGAGAGTCCATCTCAAAAAACTGTAAAATAAATAAAATAAAATAAGGAAACTTCTGAGATGATTCCAAAAATTCAACTGGGCCTCAAACTCCCATTGGCAAGGAGCTGGTCTTGCATGTACTGTTGGTTTGATAACTAGGAAGAATAAACTGTTTTGAAAATGTGCAGCAATGTTGCAGTGTTACGTCGACACCTTTTCATAGCACTCACCTTAACAGGAAAATTTAAGCACGTTTAGGGACGGGAGCTTTTTTGCCTTTCGAGAGGGTGGTGGCGTTTTGGAGGTGAGGTGCTTTTTTTTGTTTTGTTTTCTGGATGAGACAGACTCCAAAAGAACAATCACGCTGGAAAACCAACATAGTGATTTTCCTTCGCAAAGAGAACAAATTGCTGGTACCATTCCCACATCAGCAATCAGCCTGGCTTTCCTGCATGGCTGCCAAAAAACAAGGCAGCTTTTGACAAAGTTGCCGTGCATGGATTCTGGAAGCAAGATGAGCTACTCGTCCCAGGCATGATATAGGGGAAAAGTCGGTAAGGGCCATACTAAGGATTTATTTAAAAAAAAAATCTGGCCAGGTGCGCTGGCCCACGCCTGTAATCCCAACACTTTGGGAGACCGAGGTGGGTGGATCACCTGAAGTCAGGAGTTCAAGACCAGCCTGGCCAACATGGTGAGACCCCATCTCTACTAAAAATACAAAAATTAGCCGGGTGTGGTGGCTTACACTTGTAATCCCAGCTACTCGGGAGGCTGAGGCAGGAGAATCGCTTGAACCTGGGAGGCAGAGGTTGCAGTGAGCCGAGACTCTGTCTCAAAAAAAAAAAAAAAAAAATTCACACATTTTCTTGGGGCCATATTATTAAACATTCTTGAAGCGACTGGTTCTAGGCTGTTTTGTTCTGTGCTGACAATTGCAATCGCTAGAATGTGAAGACGCACCGGGAGAGCCCTTTCCAAACCCTTTGGAGCAAATGAGGAAGAGAAAGGAAGGGAGATGCAGAGAAATTAGCCAGGGGGTAATGGCCTGCCCAGGCTACATGGGAGCATGTGGTTTAGAGAGGCAGCTATTATACAAGGAGCTGAACCCCAGAATTAGACAGACTGTACCCCAGTTCTGGTTGGAAGATGGCACAGAGCGGGGAGGGGGATTAGACGTGGTGTCACGGCGAAGGTCATCTTCCTGAACCGCTCCAAGAGACAGGCCCCCCAACGCCTGCTCCATGACCAGGCAGTGGGTTTTGGAAGTGGGGGAGAAGAGCTGTGATACTTAATTCATGGGGTTGTCCCCATCTCCTCCTTCCTACACGGCCTAGAGAACTGTCACTGACTGTCACAAGGACATAGGGAAAAATTTTTAAAAAGCACAGATATTTATATTTCTTTTCTTTTTTTCTTTTCTTTCTTTCTTTCTTTTTTTTTTTTTTTTTTTTTTTTTTTTTGAGGCCGAGTCTAGCTCTGTCACCCAGGCTGGAGTGCAGTGGCACAATCTCGGCTCACTGCAAGCTCCGCCTCCCGGGTTCAAGCCATTCTCCTGCCTCAGCCTCCCGAGTAGCTGGGACTACCGGCGTCCACCACCACTCCCGGCTAATTTTTTTGTATTTTTAGTAGAGACGGGGTTTCACTGTGTTAGCCAGGATGGTCTCGATCTCCTGACCTCGTGACCCACCCGCCTTGGCCTCCCAAAGTGCTGGGATGACAGGTGTGAGCCACCGCACCTGGCCAGATATTTATATTTCAACGTTCTGTCTCACAAACATCAGAGCAGCAGGGACCACCACATAAATAGCTTTGATATGGAGTGTACACACTCAGCCTAAGAAATAAGATTCCTTTCTTTTTGTTGTTGTTATTGTTTTTGTTTTTTGTTTGTTTTTTGAGATGGAGTCTCGATCTGTCGCACCCACGCTGGAGTGCAGTGGTGCGATCTCGGCTCACTGCAACCTCCGCCTCCTGGGTTCAAGCGATTCTCCCACCTCACTCTCCCAAGTAGCTGGGATTGCAAATGTGCACCACCACACCCAGCTGATTTATTTTTATTTTTAGTACAGACAGAGTTTCACCATATTGGCCAGGCTGGTTGCGAACTCCCGACCTCTGGTGATCTGCCCTCCTCTGCCTCCCAAAGTGCTGGGATTATAGGTGTGAGCCACTGCACCCGGTGAAGATTCCTTTCTTGTTTGTTTGTTTTTCTTTTTTGAGACAGGGTCTTTCTCTGTTGTCCAGGCTGGAGCGTAGTGGCACACTCACAGCTCACTGCAATCTCAAACTCCCTGCCTCAAGCAATCCTCCTGCCTCAGCCTCCCTAGTAGCTGGGACTACAGGCATGCGCCACTGTGCCTGGCTAATTTTATCATTTTTGGTAGAGCTGAGGTCTCACTACGTTGCCCAGGCTGGTCTCCAACTCCTAGGTTCAAGTGATCCTTGCACCTCAGCCTCCCAAAGTTACTGCAATTACAAGCATGAGCCACTGTGCCCAGAAAATCAGATTCTTGGTTGAAGATGGAGGTGAATGCAAGCTAGTATTGTTTGCCCAAAGATGTGGTTCTCCACCTTCGTCAATTTTTTATTATTATTATACTTTAAGTTCTAGGGTACATGTGCACAACGTGCAGGTTTGTTACATAGGTATACATGTGCCATGTTGGTGTGCTGCACCCATTAACTCGTCGTTTACATTAGGTATATCTCCTAATGCTCTCCCTCCCTAGCCCCTCACCCCACCACAGGCCCCGGTGTGTGATGTTCCCCACCCTGTGTCCAAGTGTTCTCATTGTTCAATTCCCACCTATGAGTGAGAACATGTGGTGTTTGGTTTTCTGTCCTTGCGATAGTTTGCTGAGAATGATGGTTTCCAGCTTCATCCATGTCCCTGCAAAGACATGAACTCAACCTTTTTTATGGCTGCATAGTATTCCATGGTGTCTATGTGCCACATTGTCTTAATCCAGTCTATCATTGATGGACATTTGGGTTGGTTCCAAGTCTTTGCTATTGTGGACAGTGCCGCCATAAACTTACGTGTGCATGTGTCTTTATAGCAGCATGAGTTATAGTCCTTTGGGTACATACCCAGTAATGGGATGGCTGGGTCAAATGGTATTTCTAGTTCTAGATCCCTGAGGAATCGCCACACTGTCTTCCACAATGGTTGAACTAGTTTACAGTCCCACCAACAGTGTAAAAGCGTTCCTATTTCTCCACATCCTCTCCAGGACCTGTTGTTTCCTGACTTTTTAATGATTGCCATTCTAACTGGTGTGAGACGGTATCTCATTGTGGTTTTGATTTGAATTTCTCTGATGGCCAGTGATGATGAGCATTTTTTCATGTATCTGTTGGCTGCATAAATGTCTTCTTTTGTGAAGTGTCTGTTCTGATCCTTTGCCCACTTTTTGATGGCGTTGTTTGTTTTTTCTTGTAAATTTGTTAATGTTCTTTGTAGATTCTGGATATTAGCCCTTTGTCAGATGGGTAGATTGCAAAAATTTTATAATCCTTTGGGTATATAACCAGTCATGGGATGGCTGGTTCAAATGGTATTTCTAGTTCTAGATCCCTGAGGAATTGCCACACTGTCTTCCACAATAGTTGAACTAGTTTACACTCCCACCAACAGTGTAAAAGCGTTCCTATTTCTCCACATCTTCTCCCGCCTTTGTCAATTCTAAGCAGCCAGCAGCCCTGTTACAGCTCCCATCAATCACACTCTGTTCTGTGGCTTTTGTGCAAGCCAGAAGCATATCCTTAGAGTCTTATAAATACAGAAAAATAACTGGGTTTATGTTTTTCTTTAAGGAGTGCTTGATGATTGTAGAAATAGTGGACTCAAGTACATTCATATCAATAACAGTCCAGGAAATGTTGGCAAAAAAAAAATCCATTGATCTTTAATTTGCTGTTTGAATCATTATACCTTCTTCTGTGTGTTTTTTGGATTTTCTGAGAAGAGGAAATCCAGTAGGTAGAGTGCAATACAATACATTGATCCAAAAATCTACTGCCATAGCAAATCCCATCTATCCATAATGTGTTCACTGTCTGCATTTTTCTCAAGTTTTTTCTTTTCATGACAACTTGATTAATACAAAGCAGACTCTGTAGATGACCTAGATTATTTATTATTATTATCATTTTTGTTTTGAGAGGGAGTCTCTCTGTATAGCCCAGGCTGGAGTGCAGTGGTGTGGTCTTGGCCCACTGCAACCTCTGCCTCCCGGGTTCAAGTGATTCTCCTGCCTCAGCCTCCTGAGCAGCTGGGATTACAGGTGCCTACCACCACGTCTGGCCAATTTTTGTATTTTTTTTTCTTTTTTAGTAGAGACAGGGTTTCATCATGTTGGCCAGGCTGGTTCGAACTCCTGACCTCAGGTGATCCACCTGCCTTTGCCTTCCAAAGTGCTGGGATTACAGGCGCGAGCCACCACACCCGGAGACCTAGATTTTTGTCTTTTTGTTTTTCTTTGTTTTCTTTAGTAGAAAATTCTTTCTGTACTCATTGTACGGGATTCCTTTCAACATCATTTCTGGCTGTTTTTACGTTTGTAGTTAATGTGCAGACCACAACATACCTTTTTTTCTTTGAAATGGAGTCTCATTCTGTTGGCTAGGCTGTAGTGCAGTGGTGTGATCTTGGCTCACTGCAACCTCTGCCTCCCGGGTTCAAGCAATTCTCCTGCCACCATCTCCCAAGTAGCTGGGAGTACAGATATGTGCCACCATGTCTGGCTAATTTTTTTTGTCTTTTTAGTAGAGGTTTTGCCATATTGGTCAGGCTAGTCTGGAACTCCTGACCTCAAGTAATCCACGCATCTCGGCCTCCCAAGTGCTGGGATTACAGGCATGAGGCAACGCGCCCAGCCCCCGCAACATTATTTTTAAGGGCAACTTCCTCAACACCAGAAGACGGTACCAGGGACAGTTTCTTTTCTTTTTTTTTGTTTTTTTTGTTTTCGTGTTTTGAGATGGACTCTCGCTCCGTCACCCAGGCTGGATAGCAGGGGCACGATCTTGGCTCACTGTTACCTCTGCCTCCGGGTTCAAGCAATTCTCTTGCCTCAGCCTCCTGAGTAGCTGGGATTACAGGTGTGCACCACCGTGCCTGGCTAATTTTTGTATTTTTAATAGAGACGGGGTTTCACCATGTTGGCCAGGCTGGTCTCGAACTCCTGATCAGGCTGGTCTCGAACTCCTGACCTCGTGATCCGCCCGCCTCGGCCTCCCAAAGCGCTGGGATGACAGGCGTGAGCCACCGCGCCCGGCCCACCAGAGACAGTTTCAAGGCAGAAATGGGATATGTGTGGGCGATGCTTTTGCATTGACGGATGGTTTCTTTGCTGGAGGCTGGCAGATGGGTGGCAATGTGGAAAGCTATAGATTGGAATGAAACAGCATGGTGCTCTTCCCTGCCTTAAATTCCTGCATAGCTTTGTTCACTCACTTGAAGAAAACCCCCCAGAGGACGTGACCAATAGTATAAACAACTACCGTGTTAACTCTGGCACCTGGTTGAAATTCAACCCTTGTACGATACACATTGAAAAGCACAAAATGGGCTGGGCATGGTGGCATATGCCTGTAATCCCAGCCCTTTCGGAGGCTGAGGCTGGTGAATCACGAGGTCAGGAGTTCGAGATCAGCCTGACCAACATGGTGAAACCCCGTCTCTACTAAAAATACCACAATTAGTCGGGTGTGGTGGCAGATGCCTGTAGTCCCAGCTACTCCGGAGGCTGAGGCAGGAGAATGGCTTGAACCCGGGAGGCAGAGGTTGCAGTGAGCCGAGATCGCGCCACTGCACTCCAGCCTGGGTGACAGAGCCAGACTCCGTCTCAAAAACATAAATAAATACAAAAAAGAAAAGTACAAAAAATTAGCTGGGTGTGATGGCGGGTGCCTGTAGTCCCAGCTACTCGGGAGGCTGAGGCAGGAGAATGGCGTGAATCCGGGAGGCGGAGCTTGCAGTGAGCCGAGATCACACCTCTGCACTCCAGCCTGGGTGACAGAGTGAGACTCCGTCTCAAAAAAAAAAAAAAAAAGAAAAGGAAAAAATCTCTCCCAACCAAAAACCTCCTTAGCCTTTCTGTCTGTGACTCGACTTGCACACTAGAGGGTTTTCTAAAGGCAGTGTGTGCATTTATTTATTTTATTATTATTATTATTATTATTATTATTGAGAGAGAGTCTTACTATCTTGCCCAGGCTGGAGTGCAGTGGCATGATTTCAGCTCGCCGCAACCTCCGCCTCCCAGGTTCAAAAGATTCTCCTGCCTCAGACTCCACGCCCGGCTAATTTGTGTATTTTTAGTAGAGACGGGGTTTCACCATGTTGGCCAGGCTGGTCTCAAACTCCTGACCTCAAGGGATCCGCCCACCTCGGCCTCCCAAAGTGGTGGGATGACAGGCGTGGGCCACTGCGGGAATTCTGTCAGAAGAGCAAGAAACAGGTTACACAACTAACCACCATCTCGGATTCCTTGATAGGATTCAACAGCTGTCTCCCACCATGGGCAGGATGGCCAGCATGGCGGCTCTCAAACCTTCCTTGTGCTTGTGAAACTGGAATTCTGACTCAGTGGATCTAGGGAAGCCTGAGATGCTGAATGTCTAGTAAGGTACCCAGTGATGCGAATACCACTGGTCCATAGACCACACTTTGAGTAGGGAGCGTATGGGGGAACTGAGGGTTGCTATGGGGTGGCCAGAGGTATGGAGAGCTAGCTCAGCTGGAGGAACTGTGACAGAGGCTTCAGAGAGCCAGGGGAACATCAGTGTGTCTCAGGATGGCGCTGGGAGCTTTGTCTATCTACCGGGCTTCATCACTCCAAACCTGCAGCTATAGACCTAGAGGCCTCTACCTGGGGCCCAAATGATTGGTCCAAGCTGGTAGGTGATCTCTGTGGGAAAGGAGAAAGAACCATATTATTGTCTGAGTATGGTGGCTCACGCCTGTAATCCCAGCACTTTGGGAGGCCGAGGTGGGAGGATCAGGAGGTCAAGAGATCGAGACCATCTTGGCCAACATGGTGAAACCCCGTCTCTACTAAAAATACAAAAATTGGCCAGTCATGGTGGCATGTGCCTGTCATCCCAGCTACTCGGGAGGCTGAGGCAGGAGAATCACTTGAACTCAGGAAGCGGAGGTTGCAGTGAGCCGAGATGATGCCACTGCACTCCAGCCCGGAAACAGAGCGAGACTCCATCCAAAAAAAAAGAAAAAAAAAAAAGAACCATATTATTGTCTGAGCAATGGGTCAGAAGCTGTCCAAAGCAGAGATGAGCAAATGGCAGTGAGAAACATGGTTAGGTCAAAAGGAGGCAGGAAAAAAAAATTAGATGCTTGAGAAAGAGTACCTGCCCATGATAGTCTCATGGGTGGCCTGGTCCATGCTCCCTGTGGCCTCGGCCATTTTGGTTGGCCCGGGACTTGGTGAGTCAGGAGACTCAGCAGGAGGAAAAAATGCAAGGTCAGTGGAATGTTCCCGGATTCGACCAGAAGGCTGTAAAGTGACATGGTGGAGGGATTCCTCAAGCCAAGCTCAAGCCAAGAGGTGGAATGGAGCTTGGACGGATGGTTGACTATCCGCCAGTCCTTCACAGCCTGAGAAGCAATAAATAAATAAATAAATAAATTTTATAAATAAAATAAAATAAAACAATTTTTTAAAAAAAGGCAGCCTTTTCAATTTTAGGGGAGCTGGAACGAGAACCGCTTCTCAGATGCCAGGGAAATTCACCAGGCCACCCCATGAGACCTTTCAGAGCTTCCTAAGTGGCAAAGCAGGAGCCTCACCCTCTTAGACAAACACTGCCATTTGAAGTTTCCCTTGATTAAAAAATCGCCCAAATCCAGCCCCCAAACATCAGCCTAATGGCTAATGTCAGCATAACCAGAAACATTCCATCCCTAAGATAAACCCACTTCCAAGCAGAAACATGCCAACCCTGAGATAGCCTCCCCTCTGACCAGAGACATTCCGGTCCCAAAATAAACTTTCCCCTCACGTACAAACATTCCGAACACGTGATAACCTCCCCCCTTCCTAAACCCTTAAATACCCTTGATCTATTAAGAAAGAACGCTCCTGACCGAAATCAGCCAGAAGCCCGTCTCATATTTATCCTCCAAAATAAACCTGTCTTTGACTGTTGAGTTGCTTTCCGTGTTTCTTTTCTCTTTCTTTAAACTCTTTTTTTGTTGTTGTTGTTGAGACAGAGTCTCACTCAGTGGCCAGGCTGGAGTGCAATGGTGCGATCTCGGCTCACCACAAGCTCCGCCTGCTGGGTTCACGCCATTCTCTTGCCTCAGCCTCTTAGTAGCTGGGACTACAGGCGCCCGCCACCACACCCGGCTTTTTTGTATTTTTAGTAGAGACACGGTTTCACCGTGTTAGCCAGGATGGTCTCGATCTCCTGATCTCATGATCCACCCGCCTCGGCCTCCCAAAGTGCTGGATGACAGGTGTGAGTCACCGTGCCTGGCCCTCTTTAACTCTTACACCGAGGATGTTCTGTCATTATCACACTACATACAAGCCACGCTCTTAAAGTCCCTGGAAGTAGAATTGAAACGCGGCAAAGATTGTTTTGAAGTTCATGGAGACTATTAAGATGAGGCACTGTGCTGAAACGTAGTGGAATCTGAACTGGAATTAGAACTAGAATAGATAAGTTGCCCTAAAGTCCTCGATGTAATCCATTGTCCAGTCGTTGAAGCCAGTCAGTCACTCCATCACATCCCTATAGCTCTGGATTCCTTTCAGCCTGACAGAGAGTTGATCTGTTGTTTGGAAGTATCAACCAACACAGGTTGGTGCTTCATCACGGAGGTCAACGTGAGTGTTGTCTGGATGGTGGGATTTTCCAATGAGTCTTGAAAGGTGAACACTCCTTAAAAACGTCTTAGGGAGGCCAGGCGCAGTGGTTCACGCCTGTTATCCCAGCACTTTAGGAGGCTGAGGTGGGCGGATTACCTGAGGTTGGGAGTTCAAGACCAGCCTGGCCAACATGGTGAAACCCCGTCTCTACTAAAAATACAAAAATTAGCCAGGTGTGGTGACACACGCCTATAATCCCAGCTACTCAAGAGGCTGAGGCAGGAGAATTGCTTGAACCTGGGAGGCAGACACTGCAGTGAGCCAAGTTGCACTACTGTACTTCCAGCCTGGGTGACAGAGCAAGACTCTGAGAGAGAGTGAGAGAGAGAAAGAAGGAAAGAAGGAAGGAAGGAAGGAAAGAAAGAAAGAAAGAGAGAGAGAGAGAGAAAGAAAGAGATAGAAAGAGAGAGAGAGAAAGGAAAGAAGGGAAACGAAGAAAGGAAGGAAGGAGGGAAGGGAAGGAAGGAAGGAAGGAAGGAAGGAGAGAAAAAAAGAAAGAAAAAAGAGAAAGAAAGAAAGAGAGAGAAAGAGAAAGAAAGAAAGAGAAAGAGAGAGAGAAAGAAAGAGAGAGAGAGAAAGGAAAGGGAAACGAAGGAAGGGAGGGAGGGAGGGAAGGGAAGGAAGGAATGAACGAAGGAAGGAGAGAAAAAAAGAAAAAGAAAGAAAGAAAGGAAGGAAGGAAGGAAGGAAGGAAGGAAGGAAGAAAGCAAGAAAGGAAGGGAGGAAGGGAAAGAAAAGGAAAGAAAGCAAAGAAAGCAAGAAAGAGAGAAAGAAAGAGGTCTTAGGGTACAAGTGCCCGGGTCATTTTTGGTTCACTCAACTTCATTTTCAAGAATACCTGAGAATCCATCCGCTTGTCTGAACACATAACGATGTGACTGTGAAGATCAGCTGGAAAATGCAAGAGGAAAACCAGGAACTTCCCACTGGCAACAAGCTGAGTAATCAACTTGTCAGGCACAGTCCTTGCCCCAAGCAAATGCTTTGAAAATGATGAGTTTTGATCTTGTATTTGGTTGGGTCCTGTGCTTTCTGCTAGATACAGGAAGTTATGTGCTCCTTGTATTAACAGCAGACCAAGCCTCTTCCTATGTTATCATTGAAACTATTGATCAAGGACATGAATCTCTCTCTTTGATTATTAGCCCAGGAATGGAGTTAATTTATTTTATGAACATCACATAAAGTAACCAATGCTTTGGGCAGCTTCATTAGGACTTTTGAAAAGGCTTAGAAGGCAAATTGAATGATTCAAGAGGCAACATAAGAGAAAGGATAATGGTTTGATGATATCTACACCATAATATCTCACTGAAGACGGTCAGCTTTGCCAACTGTACATCTCCTGGACCTTAATGTGAGAGGATCAGCATTTTTTTTTTTTTTGAGGCAGAGTCTCGCTCTGTTGCCCAGGCTGGAGTGCAGTGGTGTGATCTCAGCTCACTGCAACCTCCGTCTCCTGGGTTCAAGCGATTCTCCTGCCTCAGCCTCCCAGGTAGCTGGGATTACAGGTGCGTGCCACCACACCTGGCTAATTTTTTTTATTTTAGCAGAGACGGGGTTTCACTGTGTTAACCAGGATGGTCCTGATCTCCTGACCTCATGATCTGCCCGCCTTGGCCTCCCAAACTGCTGGGATAACAGGTGTGAGCCACCGTGCTCAGCTGTAGATCAGTATTTTTATGTGAAGAGGAGAAGAGACACACATACCCATGCACTGAGGAAAGACAACTTGAAGATGGAGAAAAGACCACCTCCAAGTCAAGGAATGACTGGAGCTACCAGAAGCTAGCAGAGAAGCATGGTACCAGTTCTACTGCAGACTGCAGAAGAAACCAACCCCCCGCTAACACCTTGATTTTAAAACTTCTGAGGCCGGGCGCGGTGGCTCATGCCTGTAACCCCAGCACTTTGGGAGGCCGAGGCAGGTGGATCATGAGGTCAGGAGAGCGAGGGCATCGTGGCCAACATGGTGAAACCCTGTCTCTACTAAAAATACAAAAAATTAGCCGGGCTTGGTGGCGGGCACCTGTAATCCCAGCACTTTGGGAGGCTGAGGCAGGTGGATCACAAGGTCAGGAGATCGAGACCATCCTGGCTAACACGGTGAAACCCCATCGCTACTAAAAATACAAAAAATTAGCCGGGTGTGGTGGCGGGCGCCTGTAGTCCCAGCTACTCACGAGGCTGAGGCAGGAGAATAGCTTGAACCTGGGAGGCGAAAGTTGCAGTGAGCCGAGATCATGCCATTGCACTCCAGCCTGGGCCACAGAGCAAGACTCCATCTCAAAACAAACACACACACACACAAACAAACAAACAAAAAAATTCTGCCCTCTGGAAGCATCCATTTCTACCATTTAAGTTACTCCAGTTCTAAGTACTTGAGAGCCGCTACTGTGTGTCAGCCTTTTCAGTTTGCTGTAACAAAATATCACATTGCTTATAAACAACAGCCATTTATTGCTCATAGTTCTGCAGGCTGAATATCCAAGATCAAGGCTTGGCAGCTTCAGAGCCTGGGGAGAACCCACTTCCTGGTTCATAGACGGCACCTTCCCACAGTGTCCTCACATGGTGGAAGACACGAGGGAGCTCTGTGGGGTCTCGCTTCCTGGTTCATAGACGGCACCTTCCCACAGTGTCCTCACATGGTGGAAGAGACGAGGGAGCTCTGTGGGGTCTCGCTTCCTGGTTCATAGACGGCACCTTCCCACTGTGTCCTCACATAGTGGAAGAGACGAGGGAGCTCTGTGGGGTCTCGCTTCCTGGTTCATAGACGGCACCTTCCCACAGTGTCCTCACATGGTGGAAGAGACGAGGGAGCTCTGTGGGGTCTCGCTTCCTGGTTCATAGACGGCACCTTCCCACTGTGTCCTCACATAGTGGAAGAGACGAGGGAGCTCTGTGGGGTCTCGCTTCCTGGTTCATAGACGGCACCTTCCCACAGTGTCCTCACATGGTGGAAGAGACGAGGGAGCTCTGTGGGGTCTCGCTTCCTGGTTCATAGACGGCACCTTCCCACTGTGTCCTCACATGGTGGAAGAGACGAGGGAGCTCTGTGGGGTCTCGCTTCCTGGTTCATAGACGGCACCTTCCCACTGTGTCCTCACATGGTGGAAGAGACGAGGGAGCTCTGTGGGGTCTCTTTTATAAGGACGCTGATAATCGTGTGCGGATCTGTTGCCTCCAAATCTCACGCTGAAATCTGATTCCCAATGTTGGAGGTAGGGCTGGCTGGAGGCATGTGGGTCACGGAAGTGGATTCCTCATACACGGCTTGGAGCCCTCCCCATGGTAATGGATGATTTCTTTTTTTTTTTTCCGGAGTTTTTTTTTATTTTTTTATGTTTTATTATACTTTAAGTTTTAGGGTACATGTGCACAACGTGCAGGTTACTTACATACGTGTACATGTGCCATGTTGGTGTGCTGCACCCATTAACTCATCATTTACATTAGGTATATCTCCTAATGCTATCCCTCCCCCTTCCCGCCACCCCACAACAGGCCCTGGTGTGTGATGTTCCCCTTCCTGTGTCCATGTGTTCTCACTGTTCAATTCCCACCTATGAGTGAGAACATGCGGTGTTTGGTTTTTTGTCCTTGCGATAGTTTGCTGAGAATGATGGTTTCCAGCTTCATCCATGTCCCTACAAAGGACATGAACTCATACTTTTTTATGGCTGCATAGGATTCCATCGTGTATATGTGCCACATTTTCTTAATCCAGTCTATCATTGTTGGACATTTGGCTACTTGAGATCGGGTTGCTAAAACGAGCCTGACACCTCCCTGCCTTCTCCCTCCTGTCTTCTCTCTCACCCTGTGACGTGCCAGCTGCTCTTCACCTTCCACCACGGTTGAAATCTTCCTGAGAGCCTCACTAGCAGTCAACGTTGGTGTTCCTTGTGCAGTCTGCAAAACTGTGAGCCAAATAAATCTCTTCACTTTATAAGTTACCCAGCCTCAGGCATTCCTTTTTTGTTTTTGTTTTTGTTTTTGAATGGAGTCTTCTCTGTCACCCAGGTTGGAGTGCAGTGGCATAGTCTCAGCTCACTGCAACCTCTGCCTCCCGGGTTCAAGCCATTCTCCTGCCTCAGCCTCCCGAGTAGCTGGGATTACAGGTGCCCACCACCACATCTGGCTAATTGTTTGTATGTTTAGTAGAGACATGGTTTCACCGTGTTGGCCAGGCTGGTCTCGAACTCCTGACCTCAGGTGATCCACTCACCTTGGCCTCCCAAAGTGCTGGGATTACAGGCGTGAGCCACCACATCCAGCTGGCATTCCTTTATAGCAACATAAAATGGACTCACCCAGGCACTCATCCCATTCATGAGGTTCCTCCCTCACGACCTCGTCACCTCCCAAGGGCCCCACCTCCTCATATCATCACCTGGAGAATTAGGATTTCAAAAGAGGAATGTGAAGGGGCAGAAACATTCAGACCACAGCACCTATGCTCCTGGAAAACATCCTAACCAAGAAATACCCTGACCTTTGTTTGTCTTCCAGAAAATACCTTATTCCAAAGAGTTCCCTTCCTCATAGGCCTTACATATAAGGCTTGTGGATGTCTCTTTTTCTACTTAAGACAAAGCCAGATCCAAAACCTCCGAATTTCCCACCTTTGTCTAGTAAATGATGAGCTGAATTTCTTGTCCCATTGCCAGTCTAGACAAAATTCCCTAGTCTGAGATCAAGGTGTCTCAAGGAAATGCTCCCTCCAGAAGCTCTAGGGGAGGATCCTTCCTGCCTGTCCCAGCTCCTGGGGGCTCCAGGCGTCCCTGGGCTTGTGGCTACATCACTCCAGTCTCTGCCTCTGTCTCCATGTGACCTCCTCCTCTGTGTCTGTGTCTCCTCCTCTGTCTCTTTTTTTTTTTTTTTTTTTTTGAGAGGAGTTTTGCTCTTGTTGCCCAGGCTGGAGTGCAATGGCACGACCTCGGCTCACTGCTACCTCCACCTCCCGGGTTCAAGTGATTCTCCTGCCTCAGCCTCCGGAATAGCTGGGATTACAGGCATGCACCACCACGCCCGGCCAATTTTGTATTTTTAGTAGAGATGGGGTTTCTCCATGTTGGCCAGGCTGGTCTCGAACTCCTGACCTCAGGCAATCTGCCTGCCTCGGCCTCCCAAAGTGCTGGAATTACAGGTGTCAGCCACGATGCCCGGTCCCTTCCTCTGTGCCTTACAGGGACATTGGCCTTTCAATTTAGGGTTTACGCTAATCCAGGATGACCTCTTCTCAAGATCCCTAACTAACTATATCTACAACCTGAATTGATCAAACTTTTCTTCCGATTCTCACTCCCTCCCCCCAGATCCATACACTTTGGCCCAGCCTCAGCCCGAGCCGACACACACAGCTTCTCCTTACTAGAGAACTGGCCAAACACTGGGAAAGACTTGTGTATTGTGTGCAAAGTGTATGAAGTTAGGAAGACCCACATGGCTCTCCCTGGACCCTGAGAGCTTACAAGGATCAATATGTGAATATTAATTAAGTCTGGAGCTCAAAGCCTTTGCAGCCAGGAGTGCAGTTGGTGTCTTCAATTTAGCCAAAAGCCGTGCTCTCAGGAGGCACTAAGAAACTGTGGGCCAGGCGCAGTGGCTTATGCCTGTAATCCCAGCACTTTGAGAGGCCGAGGCGGGCGGATCACAAGGTCAGGAGATCGAGACCATCCTGGCTAACACGGTGAAACCCCATCTCTACTAAAAATACAAAAAAAAATTAGCTGGGCGTGGTGGCGGGCACCTATAGTCCCAGCTACTCCGGAGGCTGAGACAGGAGAATGGCGTGAAACAGGGAGACGGAGCTTGCAGTGAGCCTAGATCGCTCCACTGCACTCCAGCCTGGGCGACAGAGCAAGACTCCGTCAAAAAAAAAAAAAAAAATAGCTGGACATGGTGGCAGTCACCTGTAATCCCAGCTACTCGGGAGGCTGAAGCAGAGAGTCGTTTGAACCTCGGAGGCGGAGGCGGCAGCGAGCTGAGATCGCACCACTGCACTCGAGGCTGGGCAACAGAGTGAGACTCCGTCTCAAAAAAATAAATAATAAATAAAACCTGTGGAGTGGATGATTGAACAGACAGGTGTCTGTAGCCAATAAAAGTGTGCATTTGCATGAGACCCATGGATGATACAATACTTTTTCTCCTAAGTCTGTAACACTGTATGCTACTTTCCTAGGGCTGCTATAAAAACCTACCACAAACTGCAGGGCTGAACACAAGTTTATTCGCTCCCATTTCTGCAGACCAGAAGTCTGAGATCAAGGTGTCTGCAGGTCTGTGCTCCCTCCGGAGGCTCTAGGGGAGGGTCCTTCCTGCCTCTCCCAGCTCCTGGGGGCTCCAGTTGTCCCTGGGCTTGTGGCCGCATCACTCCAGTCTCTGCCTCCGTCTCCACGTGGCCTTCTCCTCTGTGTCTGTGTCTCCTCTTCTGTCTCTTACAAGGACACCTGCCATTGCATTTAGAGCCCACCCTAATTCAGGATGACCTCATCTCAAGACCCCTAACTAATTACACATATGAAGTGCTTTACTACCAATTAAGGTGCTATCCATGCATTCTGGGGATCAGAACCTGGACATATCTTTTGCCAGGACAACTGTTCAATCCAGTACAGTTGTATCCAGTTCCCTCTGGAGGCTCTAGGGGAGGGTCCTTCCTGCCTCTCCCAGCTCCTGGGGGCTCCAGGTGTCCCTGGGCTTGTGGCCACATCACTCCAGTCTCTGCCTCTGTCTCCACGTGGCCTTCTCCTCTGTGTCTGTGTCTCCCCTTCTGTCTCTTAGAAGGACACCTGTCATCAGACTTAGGGCCCACCTTACTCCAGAATGATCTCATCTCAAGATCCTTCTGTTAATCACATTTGCAAAGACCCTATTTCCAAATAAGGTCTCATTGCCAGGTTCTGGGCTTTAGGATGTGGACAGATCTTTCTAGGGGCCAATGTTCAATCCAGTATAATTATATCCAGTTCTCCCCAGAGGCTGTAGAGGAACATCCTTCCTGCCTTTCCCAGCTCCTGGGGGCTCCACAGATGTCCCTGGGACTGTGGCCACATCACTCCAGTCTCTGCCTCCATGTCCACGTGGCTTTCTCTGTGTCTCTGCCTGCTTTTCTGTCTCTGTTTTTGTTTGTTTGTTTTTTCTTTGAGAGAGTCTCTCTCTGTCACCAGGCTGGAGTGCAGTGGCACAATCTCGGCTCACTGCAACCTCCACCTCCCAAATTCAAGCAATCCTCCTGCCTCAGCCTCTCGAGTAGCTGGGACTACAGGTGCACGACACCACACCCATCTAATTTTTGTATTTTTAGTACAGACAGGGTTTCACCACATTGGCCAGGCTGGTCTGGAACTCCTGACCTCGTGATCCATCTGCCTCAGCCTCCCAAAGTGCTGGGATGACAGGCTTGAGCCACTGCGCCCGGCCTGCTTTCTGCCTCTTCAAAGGATGCTGCTCACTGGATTTAGGGTCCACCTGAATCTAAGATGATTTCATCTGGAGCACTTTAACTAAAGACATCTGCAAAGTTCTTACTTCCAAATAAGGTCCTATTTGCAGGTACCAGGGCCTGGCACACGGACCTATCTTTTTGGAAGCTGCCCTTCCACTCGCTTCAAAGGGTGTCAAGCTCATTGCTGACTTGAGTCCTCATTCACCTCTGCCTCGAGTCTCCCTTGCTTCCATTTGATCGCCTACGAGTTTCTGTCATTGGACTGCAGATGCGAAAGCATCCCCTTGGCATTTTGTCAGCGCCTCATCCTTACAGCAGAGACGCTGGCAGCTTGTCCCGTCTGCTGCCCGAAATCCTCTTTGCAGAACAGACAGGGTGCAAGATGGAGCATCCTGCTTCTTAAGCGATGGGTGTGTCTCTGTTTCTGAAGAGACTGCACAAATGCTGTCTTTCTACCATTCCTGTTTGCTTCCTTTGGCCCTCTGCCTCCAGCCTCTTTCCGTGGGGCTGGATTTTCTCCCTGGATGAGCGTGCGAGAGAGTTGTGAGGTTGTGTCTGCCCTAAAAACCCTGCCCTTGTACTTGGCTCCTGACCTTGATGTCAGTAGAGATGCGCTTGCTGAGTCCTCCTGGGCAGCCTGCTCATCTGCCACAAGATGACAGCTCATCTCCAGGCAGCGTCATCCCCACGGCAACCCCTCAGCTTCCTCCCGTTCTCTGCTCCATCCTTCCCCTTGGACTCAGTGTGGAATCATTTCTACATCAGCGAAGCCCAGCTGCGGCCCCCAGGAGCTGTTCCTCCCTGCCTGGTCTGTCAAGTGTCTTTTTGACCCTTGCTGATTTGGGGGAAGAGAATTGGCTCACGGTCGGATTCTGCTGCTAACAGTAAACCTCCAGAGAGGATGCTCAGATCCAGCGGCGGGCGCTTTCCTGCTGCATTTTTTCAAAAATGGTTACTGATTGGAACTGGCGTCCACCAGCCGGGCACAGTGAGGCCAAACATCCACACCGAGGTCTTGCAGTGGGAGTAAACAGGATGTTTACTTGCAGGGCGCCAAGCAAGGAGAATCGAGCAGTTCATGCTTAAGCCCTGACTCCTCTAATGGCTTTTAATTTCAAATTTTTTTTTTTTTTGAGACAGAGTCTCACTGTTGCCACGCTGGGGTGTAGTGGCGTGATCTCGGCTCGCTGCAACCTCCGCCTCCCGGGTTCAAGCGATTCTCCTACCTCAGCCTCGCCAGTAGCTGGGGTTACAGGCACCCACCACCACACCCAGCTAATTTTTGTATTTTTAGTTGAGACGCGGTTTCACCACGTTGCCCAGGCTGGTCTCGAACTCCAGACCTTGTGATCCACCCACCTTGGCCTCCCAAAGTGCTGGGATGACAGGCTTGAGCCACTGCGCCCGGCTGCTTTTAATTTTTAAAAAAGTATTCATTTCTTTTTAGAGATACGGTCTCTGTCTGTCGCCCAGGCTGGAGTGCAGTTGTGCCATCACGGCTCACTGTACCCTTGATCTCCCAGGCTGCAACCATTCTCCCATCGCTGCCTCTCAGGTAGCTGGGACCGCAGGTGTGCACCACCATGCCTGGCTAATTCTTTTATTTTCCTGTAGAGATGGGGTCTCACTAGATTGCTCAGGCTGGCCTCAAACTCCCAACCTTAGGCGATCCTCCTGCCTCAGTCCTGCAAAGTGCTAGGCTTACAGGTGTTTGCCATCACACCTGACCCCAAGCAGGGATACATTTCAGGAAAGCAGAAGGTACAGGTAAAATCATAAAACAGTACAAGAAGGTTATACGTTGGTTTTGGCCTAAAAGGGTGGGATATTTGGAAGCGGGGCCCCACAGGTCATAGGTGGATTCAGAGACTTTCTGATTTGAGGCTGGGCATGGTGGCTCACACCTGTAATCCCAGCATGTTGGGAGGCCGAGGCAAGCAGATCACTTGAGGTCAGGAGTTCGAGAGCAGCCTGGCCACATGGGAGGGAGGGAGGGAGGGAGGGGAGAGAGAGAGAGAGAAAGGAAGGAAGGAAGGAAGGAAGGAAGGAAGGAAGGAAGGAAGGAAGGAGGGAGGGAGGGAGGGAGGGGAAAGAGAGAGAGAAAGAACAAATGAACGAAAGAAAGAAAGAAAAGGAAGGAAGGAAGGGAAAATCTGCTGTGGGAGAAAGAAAGAAAGAAGAAAGAAAGAGAAAGAAAGGAAAAGGAAAGAAAGAAAATCTGCTGAAGGAGAAAGAGAGAAAAAGAAAGAAAGAGAAAGAAAGATCTGCTGAAGGAGAAAGAGAGAAAAAGAAAGAAAGAAAAAGGAAGAAAGATCTGCTGAAGGAGAAAGAAAGAGAGAAAAAGAAAGAAAGAAGAAAAAGAGAGAAAGAAAGAAGAAAGAAAGAGAAAGAAGAAAGTAAAAGAAAGAAAGAGAAAGAAAGAAAGAAAGAAAGAAAGAAAGAAAGAAAGAAAGAAAGAAAGAAAGAAAGAAAAGAAAGAAAGAAAAAGAAAGGAAAGAAAGAAAAAAAGGAAAGAAGGAGAAATCTGCTGAGGGATAGGACATAATTACCTGGTGTTTTCCCAGACAGGGCACTTCCTCATTTCACACAATTGGGGGTCTATTCCCTTTTATCCTTCCCATTTTACGTGTCGTCCTTTTCTCTTGGCTCCCATGAGATACGCCTCTGGGTTTCAGAACGACTCTGCCCGTGGATGATATGGGAACTCTTATCAGCATTGTCAAACCTCCTGGGTGGAGGGGAGTAGGAGAAACTCCCATTTCTCTTTGTCCTCTGGGGAACTCACTCCATTTCTCTCCCAGAGACGATGTATCTGATATTAGATTGGCTATTTGGACATTGCTAGTGCAAAATGTTGACACTTCATTTTTCTCCTAAGTCATTACATCCACAGAGCAGGTCGTGTGTTTGTGTCTTGGAACGCAAGTTCTTAGGGACTTTCAGATTTGTTTTGTCACTGAATTCTCTCCGGACGCCGGGCACTAGGCAGGCCCCATGAACATCCTGTTTTAGCAAACGTCTGAAACTCCAGGACTCATAAGTGGATGAATAAAGCAGTTGAGTTTTACATCTGTGTCTTCTGACGTCTTTCATGAAGTGTTTCCTCAGCCTGACTGTACATCAAATTCACTCCAGATGTACCATAAAAATGCATATTCCTGGTTTCTATCTCCGACGACTATAACTCGGTTAGACACCAGGTCTATCGTATGTTTTTTTTTGTTGTTTGTTCGTTTACTTTAAGTTCTGGGGTACCTGTGCAGAATGTGCAGGTGTGTTACACAGGTATACATGTGCCATGGTGGTTTGCTGCACCCATCAACCCATCATCTAGGCTTTAAGCCCCGCAGGCATTACGTATTTGTCCTAATGCTCTCCCTGTCCTTGTCCCCCAGCCCCCAACAGGCCCAGGTGTGTGATGTTCCCCTCTCTGTGTCCATGTGTTCTCATTGTTCAACTCCCACTTATGAGTGAGAACATGCGATGTTTGGTTTTCTGTTCCTGTGTGAGTTTGCTGAGAATGATGGTTTCCAGCTTCATCCGTGTGCCTGCAAAGAACATGAACTCCTCCTTTTTTATGGCTGTATAGTATTCCTTGGTGTCTATGTGCCACATTTTCTTCATCCAGTCTATCATTGATGGACATTTGGGTTGGTTCCAAGTCTTTGCTACCATGCATAGTGCCTCAAGAAACATACATGTGCCTGTGTCTTTATAGTAGAATGATTTATTAATTGTTAATTGTTTAGAAACAAGCTCTTGCTCTGTCACCCAGGCTGGAGTGCAGTGGTGTGATCATGGCTCACTGCAGCATCAAACTCCTGGGCTCAAGTGATCCCCCCTCCACCTCAGCCTCCTGAGTAGCTGAAACTACAGGCGTGCACCACCACACCTAGCTGATTTTTTTTTTATTTTTGTAGTGACAGGGGTCTCACTATGTTACCCAGGCTGTTCTTGAATTCCTGGGCTCAGGCAGTCCTCCCTTCAAAGCGTCCTGAGTAGCTGGGACTACAGGTGTGCACCCAAACACCAGCTTATTTATTTATTTATTTATTTATTTGCAGAGAGGGGCTTGTTCTTATATAGCCCAGGCTGGTCTTGAACTCCTAGGCTCTAACTATCCTCCCACCTTGGCCTCCCAACGTGCAGAGATTACAGGCATGAGCCACCATGCCTGGCCTCATAGTACTTTTAACCAATTCCTTTGATGATTCTAACACTTACCCCACAGACAGGCATTCAGGGGAAACAGCACTCAAATTCTGCACAGAGATTCTTTGTAATTTTGCTATTATCTAACCTGGTTAATGAGCGTCTCTCAGCCAGGCTCATATTCTTCAACTAAAGAAAATATTTAAGAATCATATTTTGTTTTGTGTTTGCACCATGTCAAATAACTAGGCTGTTTGCTGCGTATTTATGGATTGCTTACGTGTGTGTCCTGTACCAGCCACATCAGCAGGCTGTTTGCTGCGTATTTATGGATTGTTTACGTGTGTGTCCTATACCAGCCACATCAGCAGTGATTTTAGGTGTCAGACCTCCAGGTCTCTCTCTCTCTCTCTTTTCTTTTCTGAGACAAAGTTTTGCTCTGTTGCCCAGGCTGGAGTGCAGTGGCGCCATCTCGGCTCACTGCAACCTCCGCCTGCTGGGTTCAAGAGATTCTCCTGCCTCAGCCTCCCCAGTAGCTGGGATTACAGGCACTCACCACCACAGCCGGTTAATTTTTGTATTTTTAGTAGAGACGGGGTTTCACCATGCTGGCCAGGCTGGTCTCAAACCCCTGACCTCGTATTCCACCCGCCTTGGCCTCTCAAAGGGCTGGGATAACAGGCGTGAGCCGCTGCGCCCGGCCGAGACCTCCAGGTCTCTTGTTACATAGGAGGCAGTGAAGGACAAATATCCACATCACAATCCCCATTTGGACTGAACTGTCACCTGCATTTCTGCAGAACCACATTTAATCCTATTCCACCTCCTGGAGATAAACAAGGTGTACCTCTTCCCTCTTCCCAGTAAAGTCAGCTAGGGAACGAGAGTCAGCGGCTGAGACTCCAGCGGCCATCTCCTTTGAGTCCTGGCTAAACTGTGCATGGTGTGGTACAGGAGAGAACGTGAAGGCCAAACTGGCCTCTCAACCCACCCTGCCCCATATTTTTTGCAAGCGCAAGCTCTGCCATCCCCTCGTGGACTCAGCGGTGAAGTCCTTGATGAAACGATGTGGTTTCTCCATTGCTTGGACAATCCTCCAAGCAAGGAGGAAAATTCAAGCTACCTGTCATCTGGATATTAAAATATACTTTGTAATTACTGGAATCATATGTGTTCAGACATCTCAATTGCAGGGAAAAATTAAGACGTCGTGGCCCAGTTACTTTGCAATTTCTGTGGAAATTTTCTGGAAATACATTCATTTTTTAAAAATGAATGCATAGGCTGGGTGCAGTGGCTCACCCCTGTAATCTCAGCACTTTGGGAGGCCGAGGCCAGCAGATCACGAGGTCAGGAGTTCGAGACCAGCCTGGCCAATATGGTGAAGCTCCATCTCTACTTAAAAATACAAAAATTAGCCAGGCATGGTGGTGTACACCTGTAATCCCAGCTACTCGGGAGGCTGAGACAGGAGAATGGCGTGAACCCGGGAGGCGGAGGTTGCAGCGAGCCGAGATCACGCCACTGTACTCCAGCCTGGGCAACAGAGTGAAACTCCATCTCAAAAAAAAAAAAAAAAAAAAGAATGCATCTTCCCAGCAAAGCAGCTAGAATTAATATTTTTCTTGTACAAATGCTGTAATCTATGTGGCCCTTTCACCAAACATGTTATTGGGTTCCCTTGTTTGCAAGCAAGAAAGGAAAACCCTGGTCTTTTTTTTTTTTTTTCAATCCTGCCATTTTTACTTTTATTAGTATCAAGCTGGAGCATCCAAGATGCTATTTACCTCGGCAGCCCGCTGGGTTTTTCCATTGCAACTGTGGGTTTTCTATTTGCAAAACAGCCACGGAGGCTTAGTACATATTTTCCGTATTTTGCCCTTGTAGCAAAGGCAAACATACGGGAATAGAAACATACTGAGGCAGAAATTTAAAATAATCATAATAAGGACTGGACGCGGTGGCTCACGCCTGTAGTCCCAGCACTTTGGGAGGCCGAAGCGGGCGGATCACGAGGTCAGGACATCGAGACCATCCTGGCTAACACGGTGAAACCCCATCTCTACTAAAAACACAAAAAATTAGCCAGGCGTGGTGGCGGGCGCCCGTAGTCCCAGCTGCTGGGGAGGCTGAGGCAGGAGAATGGCGTGAACCCGGGAGGTGGAGCTTGCAGTGAGCCAAGATCGCGCCACTGTACTCCAGCCTGGGCGACAGAGCGAGACTCTGCCTCAAAATAATAATAATAATAATAAGTAGTAGTAGTACTGCATTTATTCACTCCAAGAAAAGTAAACGCTAAGGCCCAGAATGTGGCAAGGTGAGGGTTAGAAAGAAAAGAAGTTTTCCTCTCCTAGCAGCTCGCTTCAAGGACAGTTAGAAGACAATGCTGTCCGAATAGCCAAGGCCAAAGGAATGGGCTCCAGACACCCCACCTCCCTCCCAGAGCAAGGTTGAAGGAAAAAAGAGAAAGACAGACGCTTTCACTGTTACTCTTTTCCCAGCCTTCTTAAGCATAATTAGCATGATCATGCTTTATGAATGTCTGTATTTAGCCAGTTCTTGTTTTTCTTTCAATGCAGTTACAAGGCCACCAGCTACGCAGTCACAACTTATGTGATGCTATAGATGACGTGACCTGCCACTGTAGGAGTAACTGCTTTTATTTTGCTTCTGTAAAGCCGCTTATGAAAACCCCGCTCTGTCTTTGTTCAGGGCTCAGCTTTTGGATGTGAGTCCTGTGAGCAGGTGCGTACCTAAAATAAACAAATCCTGCTATACTCTGTATTGGTCTCTCCGTTCCTCAGTTTACCACAACAATATGAAAATATGGGGCTGGGCGTGGTGGCTCATGCCTGTAATCCCAGCACTTTGGGAGGCCGAGGTGGGCAGATCACAAGATCAGGAGTTCGAGACCATCCTGGACAACATGGTGAAACCCCATCTCTACTAAAAATACAAAAGTTAGCCAGGTGTGGTAGCATGTGCCTGTAATCCCAGCTACTCAGGAGGCTGAAGCAGGAGAATCACTTGAACCCGGGAGGTGGAGGTTGCAGTGAGCCAAGATCGTGCCTCTGCACTTCAGCCTGGGTGACAGAGCAAGACTCTATCTCAAAAAAAAAAGAAAAAAAAAGAAAGAAAGAAAAGACGGAAACGCAGTGGAGAGATCCTGTTAACGTCAGGCAAAGTACACTTCAGAAGAATAACAATTACCACTGGTAAAATGGGACATTATCTAATGACAAAGGGGGCAATTCACCAAGAAGACAAAATGATTTTGATGATGTATTCAACGCAAAACAAATCCTCGAAATACATAAAGCGAAAGAAGATACAGAATTGAGAGGAGAAATAGGTGAATGCATAATTCATTTCTTTTTAGAGATACGGTCTCTCTCTGTCGCCTGAGAGTTGGGAACACGAACATTCCTCTTTCAATAATTGATACATCAAGTAGAGACTTTTTAATAACACAATCAATCATTAGGCCGAGCACGGTGGCTCATGCCTGGAATCCCAGCACTCTGGAAGGTCGAGGCAAGTGGATGGCTTGAGTCCAGGAGTTTGAGACCAGCCTGAGCAATATGGCAAAACTCTATCTCTACAAAAAATACAAGAATTAGGTGGCTATGGCGGTGCACACCTATAGTTCCAGCTACTCGGGAGGCTGAGGTGGGAGGATCCTTGAGCCTGGGAAGTGGAGGTTGCAGTGAGCCGAGATCACAGCACTGCACTCCAGCCTGGGCGACAGAGCAAGGCCCTGTCTGAAAATAATAATTGTAGTAGTAATAATAGTACTATCACCTGTGCATGGTGACTCACACCTGTAATCCCAGCACTTTAGGAGGCGGAGGCGGGTGGATCACTCGAGGCCAGGAGTTCGAGACCCACCTGGCCAATCTGGTGAAATCCCCTCTCTACTAAAAATTAGCTGGTCGTACTGGCGGGCACCTGTAATCCCAGCTACTCGGGAGACTGAGGCACGAGAATCGTTTGAACCTGGGAGGTGGAGGTTGTGGTGGGCTGAGGTCATACCACTGGACTCCAGCCTGGGGGACAGAGAGAGGCTCTGTCTCAAAATAATAATAATAATAATAATACTATCAATCAACCAATCAATCAATGACTCAATGGACATTTCTAGAACATTCCACCAAGCGACAGCAGAAAATGCACGAAGTTTAAGTACCCAGCGAATGCCACAGAGATACAACATATTCTAAGCTGTAAAACAAACCTTAACGAATTTAAAACAATTAAAATAATACTTGCTACAGTCCTATAAATAATGAAACCATTAATCAACAGCAGGAAGATATCTGGAAAATGCCCACATATTTGGACACTAAAAAGTTATCAGCTAAATGACTCATGGGTCAGAGGAGAAGCAAGAAGGGAAATTTTGAAATACTTTTAATTGAATGAAAATGAAATTATCAATGTATCAAAAATCGAGAAACATGGGGCCTGGCGCGGTGGCTCATACCTGTAATCCCAGCACTTCAGGAGGCCAAAGAGGCGGTGGATCATTTTAGGTGAGGAGTTTGACACCAGCCTGGCCAACATGGTGAAACCCTATCTCTATTAAAAATACAAAAATTAGCAGGGCGTGGTGCTTGGTGCCTGTAGTCCCAGCTACTTGGGAAGCTGAGGCAGGAGAATCGCTTGAACCCGGGAGGTGGAGGTTGCAGTGAGTCAAGAGGCAGAGGTTGCAGTGAGTTGAGATCAAGCCACTGCACTCCAGCCTGGGCGACAGAGCATAACTCCATCTCAAAAAAAAAAAAAAAAACAGGTACAGGAGTACTTTGAAAAAATTTATTGCATATACATAATATAATGCTTATATTCTATAATATATTCTAATACTTATTAGATAATATGCTTACTTTTTTTTTAGAAAAATGTCTGCAATCAATTATCTGATGTCCTATCCTTAAAAAAATTATTAAAAGAAGAGAAAAGTTTAGCCAAGTCAGGCAGAAGAAAAGAAATAATAAAGATATAATTAGAAACAGAAAAAAAAATATGAAAAAATGAATAAATCTAAAATCAGATTCATGGAAGGGATCAAACATATGGATGGAGCTTTCACCAGAAAGAAAAACATAAAAATAAACCATAAACGTCACTAGTATCAGGGATGCAAGAGGGACATCCCTGTAGCCCCTATTGATACTAAAAGGATAATGAAAGGATACTACAAATGATTTTATGCACATAAAATTGGTAGCATTGATGTAAAGGCAAAGTCCTAGAGAGACACACACTACCAAACCTAACTCAAGAAGAAACCGATAACCTGAATAGTTCTATGTCTACCAAAAAAAAAAAAATTATTTTGAGACTGAATCTCGCCCTGTCGCTAGGCTGGAGTGCTGTGGTATGATCTCAGCTCACTGCAACCTCCGCCTCCTGGGTTCAAGCAATTCTCCTGCCTCAGCCTCCCAAATAGCTGAAACTACAGGCACACACCACCACACCCAATTAATTTTTGTATTTTAGTAAAGATGGGGTTTCACCATGTTGGCCAGGATGGTCTCGATCTCTTGACCTCGTGATTCACCTGCCTTGGCCTCCCAAAGTGCTGGGATGACAGGCAAGAGCCACCATGCCCGCCCAAATAAATGAATTCTTAGTTAACACCTTCCAACACAGAAAACTCTGCAGAGGTCTTCACTGGCCAATTCCATTAAACAGTTATTGGAGGAAGATACCTAATTTTACCCAAACACTTCCTAAAATAGAAGAACACAGCATTTTCCAACCCATTGTATGAAGCCAACATTGTTACCACAATACCAACATAAAGAGGAAAAATGTCAGACAAGAAAACCACAGACAGATATTCGTCATTCACCCAGAAGCAGAAATTCTCAACAGCGTATCAACAAATCAAGGAAAACACCGTCTGGATATATGGCACCATGACCCTGTGAGGTTTATTTTATGAACACAAGAAGGGCTGTTTTTTAACATCGAAAAATCAATGTAATTAGCTCAATCAAGCCACTAAAGAGAAAAATGTGTACAATCTTTTCAAAACATGCAGCAGAAGTACTTGACAAAAATGAAAATCAACTTGGAAATAAAAATGCTGAGCCAAGTCTGCTTAACCCTATAGTGGGATCGACAGAAAACCCACAGCTAACTGTAACTCATAGGATGGAAGACTGACCAAGATCTTTCCTCTGAGATCAGGAACAAAGAAGGGAGCCCCACTCCGCTGCAAACAAATCATGTTTCTGTCACCCACAAAAACGGATGGTAGATTAAAAACCAATGTAACTTTCTTTTTGCTTTTTTTTTTTTTTTTTGAGACAGAGTCTTGCTCTATCTCCAGGCTGGAGTGCAGTGGCTCCATCTTGGCTCACTGCAACCTCCACTTCCTGGGTTCAAGCGATTCCCCTGCCTCAGCCTCCCAAATAGCAGGAACTATAGGCACGAGCCACCACACCTGGATAATTTTTTGTGTTTTAGTAAAGATGGGGTTTCACCATGTTGGTCAGGATGGTCTTGATCTCCTGAACTCAGGATCTGCCCGCCTTGGCCTCTCAAAGTGCTGGGATTACAGTTGTGAGCCACCGCGCCCGGCCTGCCCACATCTTAATAGTGTTATTTGTTTGTTGTTGTTGTTGCTGTTTCAGTTCTTTGTATATTGTGAGTAGGAGACTGTTTTAACCTCAACGTGATGATTCGTCCCGGCTCAATTCACAGAAGCTGGTGAAACAGTCGACACGGGTGTAACTTTCCATTTTCTGCCTCCGTGAGGTCACCCTAACTGTGAAAATAGACATATCTATTCATGTATTTTGAAAATGCACACATTTTTCTTTTTCTTTTTTCTCAGGCAGAGTCTGGCTCTGTCACCCAGGCTGGAGTGCAGTGGCACGATCTTGGGTCACCGCAACCTCCGCCTCCCGGGTTCAAGAGATTCTCCTGCCTCAGCCTCCCGCGTAGCTGGGACTACAGGCACCTGCCACAATGCCCGGCTAATTTTTGTATTTTTAGTAGAGACAGGGTTTCACCATATTGGCCAGGCCGGTCTCGAACTCCTGACCTCGTGATCTGCTTGCCTCAGCCTCTCAAAGTGCCGGGATTACAGGCCTGAGCCACTGCGCCTGGCCAGGGCCTCATTTTCCAAAGTCTTATCTTTCCTATGATGCTCTATTCATTTACAAGCATATATATATTTAAAAGGAAAACATGGACATCCTGCACCCATCATTCTACAGCTTGTTTTTCATTTCCAATGCACTGAAGATTGCTTCATGGTTTTGTATACGGAAATGCGTAGTTCTTTTCCTTTTTCTTGACTGCATACTATTCCGTTACATAAATGTACTGTGTAATATTTAACCCATTCCTTGTAGATGGGTGCCCTGCTAGTCTCAGACATTTGTCCTTATAGACAATGTCACAGCCAAAGGTATGTATCTCTGTATTTTTGCAGACATCGTCATGAATATTTTTTTTTTTTTTTGAGATGGAGTTTCACTCTTGTTGCCCAGGCTGGAGTGCAGTGGTGTGATGTTGGCTCAGTGCAACCTCCGCCTCCCGGGTTCAAGCGATTCTCCTGCCTCAGCTGCCTGAGTAGCTGGGATTACAGGCATGCGCCACCACACCTGGCTAATTGTATTTTTAGTAGAGATGGGATTTCTCCATGTTGGTCAGGCTGGTCTCTAAGTCCCGACCTCAGGTGATCCGCCCACCTCGGCCTCCCAAAGTGCTGGAATGACAGGCGTGAAACACTGTGCCCAGCCTGTCATGAATATTTGTAGGGGAGAACTGGCTTTGAATTTGATATCCTTAAAGGTGAATGGAAATATAAACGGTAAATATAGTCTGACTGCTTCAACGTCCTGTCTTCAGAGGAGATGTGATTTTTTCACATCTGCCCTTTCATTCATTCGTTTGTTTGTTTGTTTATTTGTGATAGGGTCTACCTCTGTCACCCAGGCTGGAGTGCGGTGGTGTGATCACAGCTAACTGCAGCCTCAAACTCCTGCACTCAAGCAATCCTTCCACTTCAGCCTCTTGAGTAGCTGGGACTACCAGGCATGTACCAGCACATCCGGCAAAATTTTTTTTTTTTTTTTTTTAAGACAGAGTCTGGCCCTGTTGCCCAGGCTGGAGCGCAGTGGCGCGATCTTGGCTCACTGCAACCTCCTCCTCCCGGGTTCAAGCAATTCTCCTGCCTCTGCCTCCCAAGAAGCTGGAACTACAGGCATGAGCCACCACACCTGGATAATTTTTTTGTGTTTTAGTAAAGATGAGGTTTCACCATGTTGGTCAGGATGGTCTCGATCTCCTGACCTCAGGATCTGCCCGCCTTGGCCTCCTAAAGAGCTGGGATTACAGTTGTGAACCACCGCGCCCGGCCTGCCCACATCTTAATAGTGTTGTTTGTTGTTGTAGCTGTTTCAGTTCTTTGTATATTGTGAGTACGAGACTGTTTTAACCTCAATTTGATGATTCGGCCCAGCTCAATTCACAGAAGCTGGTGAAACAATCGATATAGGTGTAACCTTCCATTTTCTGCCTCCGTGAGATCACGAGATGGAGTCTCACTCTGCCACTCAGAGCGGAATGCCGTGGTGCAATCTCAGTTCACTGAAACCTCTGCCTCCCGGGTTCAAGTGATTCTCCTATCTCAGTCTCCCGAGTAGCTGGGATTACAGGTGCGAGCCACCACGCCCAGCTAATTTTTGTATTTTTAGTAGAGATGGGGTTTTGCCATGTTGACCAGGCTGGTCTCGAACTCCTGACCTCAAGCAATCCTCCCACCTCGGCCTCCCAAAGTGATAGGATTACAGGTGTGAGCCTCCACGCCCAGCCCCTCTTTTCTCCCTCTTTGTCTCTCTTTCCTTCTCCTTTTTCACTCTCTCAGTATTTCTCTTCTGTCTTTCCCCCACTCCCTCTCTCTCTCCTTTCTCTCTCCTTTCTCAGTCTCCTTTCTCTCTCTCTTTCCCTCTCCTTTCTCAGTCTCCTTTCTCTCTCTCTTTCCCTCTCCTTTCTCAGTCTCCTTTCTCTCTCTCTTTCCCTCTCCTTTCTCTCTCTCTTTCCCTCTCCTTTCTGACTCTCTCTTTCTCAGTATCTGTTTCCTCTCTCTCTTTTTCCCTCCTCTCCCTCTCTCTCTCTCTCAAAATCTCCCTCTTCCCCCTCTCACCCTCTCTCTTTCTTCCACCCTCTCTACCCCACTCTCCATCTCTCCGTTTCTCTTCCTCTCTCCTTTTTTTTTCTCTCTCTCCTCTGTCTTCTCCATGGCCCTTCTTCCCTCTCTCTCTTCCTCTCCTTCTCTCCACTTTTCTCTCATACCCAGCCCTCAACAGAAACCACCACACTATGCACTGTCTGGCAATCCATATCCCCAAATCTTTATTCTCCTCTTGAGAGCAGCTTCTGAATTCTATTAGGTCCATCTCTCTACATCCTTTTACTTTCTTATCTCTGTTCTTATCTCTCTCTATTTTCTGAGCCACCGACGTCAGGGTAACTCAGCAGATCAGGCTGTGAGATACTGAGATACCCACGGCAAAGGGAACGTGAAATGAGATGGGATCAAAACCCAGAACCGTCCGTCACTAACACCGTTCACTTCTCTGCATAGCTCTGTCTTGTCTCCTCAAAGTGAGGACACAGGGAGAGAGACACTGTCGTGCAGCTTTTAAGAATTCAGGGTTGAGATTCTGATGCATCTGGGAGGGGCCTGCTTGCAGGTGAAGTCAGTTGTTGGTGACAACGTGGCCGTGGGCTGGCCGGGATGATGGTAGCGTACACCTGCAAAGTTTGCTGTAAGAATTAAGAGATAATACCTGGAAGGATGCATGCAACAGGTGCTTAGCTGAATGCCTACAAACACTGTCTATAGTTAGTTATCCTTTGTAATCACAAGTATCTTTTTTTTTTTTTTTTTTTTTTTTTTTGCGATGAGTCTGGCTCTGTCACCAGCCTGGAGTGCAGTGGTGCAATCTTGGCTCACTACAACCTCTGCCTTTGGGGTTCAAGAGATCCTCCTGCCTCAGCCTCCTGAGTAGATGGGATTACAGGTGCATGCCACCATGCCCAGCTAATTTTTTTGTGTTTGTATTTTTAGTAGACACAGGGTTTCACAGTGTTGGCCAGGATGGTCTCCATCTGTTGACCTTGTGATCGGCCTGCCTCAGCCTCCCAAAGTGCTGGGATTACGAGCATGAGCCACCGTGCTCGGCCGAGTATCCCTTTTATTGTCATCTAACAACAACGTGTTTCTTTAACCTGCCCTGTGACCTGCAGAGTGAAATGGAACGATGCTTATCTGGGCTGAATCACATATCAGAGCTCGATTCCTTTTCATGGCTGCATAATATTCCACGGTACAGATAAACCACATTGTGAGTATCCAGTCATCCACTGTTGGACATTTGGGTCATTTCCAGGGGCTGAGGGGTGAGGGGAAGGGGGGTGCCTGCAAATGGGAATGGGTTCTCCTCTGGGGGTGCCAGAAATGTTGTGGAACTGGATACAGGGGGTGATCCCACAACATCATGAACGCAGTAAATGCCACTGAATTGTTCAGTATAAAATGGTTAAAATGGTAAATTGTGTGTTTTGTGTATTTTACCACCATTAAAAACCTCTCAGATTTTGTTGTTGTTGTTGTTTGTTTGTTTTTTTGAGACGGAGTTTCACTCTTGTTGCCCAGGCTGGAGTGCAGTGGTGTCATCTCGGCTCACTGCAACCTCCGCCTCCCAGGTTCAAGCGATTCTCCTGCCTCAGCCTCCAGAGTACCTGGGATTACAGGCGTCCACCACCGCGCCCAGCTAATTTTTTGTATCTTTAGTAGAGACGGGGTTTCACCATGTTGGCCAGGCTGGTCTCCAACTCCCAACCTCGTGCCTCCCAAAGTACTGGGATTACAGGCGTGAGCCATGGCACCTGGCCTTTAGCTCTTTTTGTATTTTCTCTCCCTTTGACATAAATCTCCAGGCACGTCATTGGCACACCTGTATCACGTGTGTTTCTGTTTTTCTGCTTGCTTTAAGGTCAACCCTAGCTCCCGTTTTTGTCTGTTTATTTCTTTGTTTTTCCTGTTTCATTCTTGCACCAGTGAAAATTCTCATTAAGTGAATCCTCACTCTCCTTTTCAAAGCAGAACAGCTACTGGCCAGCCATCACGGCCCACGCCTGTTATCCCGGCACTTTCAGAAGCCGTGGCAGGTGGGTAACCTGAGGTCAGGAGTTCGAGACCAGCCTGGCCAACACGGTCAAACGTTGTCTCCACTAAAAATACAAAAATTAGCCAGGCATGGTGGGGCGCTCCTGTAATCCCAGCTACTTGAGAGGCTGAGACATGATAATTGCTGGAACCCAGGAGGCAGAGGCTGCAGTGAGCTGAGATCGCGCCACTGTACTTCAGCCTGGGCGACAGAGCTGGAATCTCAATAAATTAGTCAATTAATTAATTCAACTAATTATTAGTCAATTAATTACTTAATTAATTAAAAAGCAGAATACCTGTTAGTAACTGGCCTAATTACCCTTCTCACAGTAGATGCAAACTCTGCCCTTATGTCTTTTTTGAAACCGAGTCTTGCTCTGTCGTCCAGGCTGAAATGCAGTGGTATGATCTCGGCTCACTGCAACCTCTCCCTCCCAGGTTCAAGCAATTCTCCCACCATAGCCTCCTGAGTAGCTGGAGGGTAGTACAGGCATGCACCACCATGCCTAGCTAATTTTTGTATTTTTTAGTAGAGACGAGGTTTCACCATGTTGGTCAGGCTGGTCTTGAACGCCTGACCTCAGGTGATCCGCAGGCATCGGCCTCCCAAAGTGCTGGGATTACAGGCGTGAGCCACCACATCCGGCCCTCTGTCCTTATTTCTGTTTTTGTTTATGTTGTTGTTTTGAGACAAGACTTCATTCTGTCACCCGGGCTGGAGTGCAGTGCTACAATCACAGCCCACTGCAGCCTCAACCTTGCAGATTCAAGTAATCCTCCTATCTCAGCCTCCTGAGTAACTAGGACTGCTGTCATGCACTACCATGCCCCACTAATTTTAACATTTTTTTGTGGAAATTTTTTTTTTTTTGAGACGGAGTTTCGCTCTTTGTTGACCAGAGTGGAGTGCAGTGGTGCTATCTCAGCTCACTGCAACCTCCACCTGCTGGGTTCAAGCAATTCTCCTGCCTCAGCCTCCTGAGTAGCTGGGATTACAGGCATCTGTGACCATGCTCAGCTAATTTTTATATTTTTAGTAGAGACAGGGCTTCACCATGTTGGACAGGCTGGTCTCGAACTCCTGACCTCAGGTGATCCACCCGCCTTGACCTCCCAAAGTGCTGGGATTACAGGTGTGAGCCACCGCGCCCGGCCAGGTATTTCTTTATAACAGGCTGAGAACTGACAAATACAGTCTCCTAAAGGCAGGCCTGGGCCCCATACAACATGCCACCTTGTGGGCTCACGGTGAAGCTTATATCATCACCGTGCTAACCTGAGCCGTTTCACTAGACATGTTAACAGTCATAGCTACAGGTATCTGCAAACTGTACATCCCTGTCTTCATATTCAGGAAGCTCCCACATCGCCAAGCATCCTTTGCCCCAGGAAGAAATAGTAAACACACTTTTTTTTTTTTAGAAGGAGTCTCGCTTTTTTGCCAGGCTGGGGTGCAGTGGCGCGATCTCGGCTCACTGCAACCTCCGCCTCCCGAGCTCAAGTGATTCTCCTGCGTCAGCCTCCTGAGTAGCTGGGATTACAGGCGCACGCCACCATGCCTGACTAATTTTTGCATTTTTAGTAGAGATGGGGTTTTACCATGTTGTCCAGGCTGGTTTCGATCTCTTGACCTTGTGATCCACCCGCCTCAGCCTCCCAAAGTTCTGGGATGACAGGCGTGGGCCACTGCGCCCGGCCAGTAAACACACTTTTACAAATAAACTTTAATTTTCTCCCTTTCTTCTTTGTTTCTGTTTCTCAGTGCCCTCTGTCTGTATTTTTTTTTTTTTTTTCCATAGCTGCCACCCTGGAGTCTTTCATTTCATCCTCGGCTTTTCTTCTGTCAGTCTCATTCACTGAATCTGCCCTTTGCTTCTCCAGCCAGGGTTCTTCTCCTCCATGCTCTGTTTGTCACATTCCTCTCGCTTCTGTTTTGATTTGTGTAACGGTGACAATAGATGTGAGGTCGGGATTAGCTGCCCCTAATTCTGTTCAGGTGAACACCACTTATATCTGCACTTCCCTTTTTCTCCGGAGGTCAGTCTTGCAGAGGAGAAAATGCAGGTTGGCTCAAAGATGCAATGTGAGTGTGACATTTCTTCTATACAAAAAAAAAAAAAAAAATCGTGTTTTGCTTGAACCTGGGAGGCAGAGGTTGCAGTAAGCCAAGAAGGCGCCACTGCACTCCAGCCTGGGCAACAGAGTGAGACTCCATCTAAAAAAAAAAATAGTGTTCTGAATATGAATAATGCCACCTGGTATGGGTGGCTAAATTACCCAAATTCACCCAATTGTTCACTAAAAGATGCTTTTCTCTTTTTTTTCCTGGTTTGACAGTATTGAGAGTGTAGTTTGAAAACAAAGAAGAGAACATGTTGCCTAAAGAGTGAAAGACAGGACAAGAGAGTTTGAAAATGGCACGGAAGAGCTTATCACAGTCGGACACTCATCTGAGGCTTCATTTCATCGAAAAGAAAATAGAAAAAGATAAAATAAAATAGAAAAAGAATTCCATTCTCCATGATGTAATTATTCATACCTAGTATTCGATAGTACAACAGGGTGACTATCGTCAAAATAATTTAATTGCACATTTTAAGATAACTAAAAGAGTATGTATTAGTCCGTTTTCATGCTGCTGATAAAGACATACCCAAAGCCGGGTGCGGTGGCTCACGCCTGTAATCCCAGCACCTTGGGAGGCTGAGGTGGGCAGATCACCTGAGGTCAGGAGTTTGAGACCAGCCTGGCCAACATGGTGAAACCCCATCTCTACTAAAAATACAAAACTTAGCCAGGCGTGGTGGCCCATGCCTGTTATCCCAGCTAATCAGGAGGCTGAGGCTGGAGAATCACTTGAACATGGGTGGCAGAGGTGGCAGTGAGCTGAGATTGCACCACTGCAGTCCAGGCTGGGCAACAGAGTAAGACTTGGTCTCAAAAAAAAAAAAAAAAAAAAAAAAAAAAGCATACCCTAGATTGGGTAATTTATTTAAAAAAAGAGACATACCCGAGACTGGGAAATTTATAAAGAAAATGAGGTTCCATGGACTCACAGTTCCACATGGCTGAGGAGGCCTCACAGTCATGGTGGAAGGAGAAAGGCACATCTTACACGGTGGCAGGCAGAAGACAATGAGAGCCCAGTGAAAGCAGTTTCCCCTGATAAAACCATCAGATCTCATGAGACTTATTCACGACCTCCAGGACAGTCTGGGGGAAACCAGCCCCATGATTCATTTATCTCCCACCCAGTCCCTCCCACAACACATGGGAATCATGGGAGCTACAATTCAAGATGAGATTTGGGTGGGGACACCACAACACATGGGAATCATGGGAGATGCAATTCAAGATGAGATTTGGTTGGGGACACCACAATACATGGGAATCATGGGAGATACAATTCAAGATGAGATTTGGTTGGGGACACCACAATACATGGGAATCATGGGAGATACAATTCAAGATGAGATTTGGTTGGGGACACCACAATACATGGGAATCATGGGAGATACAATTCAAGATGAGATTTGAGTAGGGACACAGCCAAATCATATTAGAGTATAATTGGATTGTTTGTAACACAAAGGATAAATGCTTGAGGGCATGCAAGCTCCATTCTCCATGATGTGATTATGAAGCATTGCATGCTTGTATCAAAACATCCTCTCTGCACGGTGCATTGAACATGAATTATGCCATGTTGACTGTGTGTGATATCTGATGTATACAAAAACGGAGGTCAAGGCCCAAACACTGGGAGCACCAATGTCCAAGAGCATGAGAAGCTGGAGGTCCCGGTTCCAGGTAAGGAAAAGAGAATATAGTCTCCCTTCATCTGCATTTTCATTCTCTGCAAATCCCTCAGTGGAGAGGACAGTACCCATCCCCATTGGTGAGGGTGGTCTTTACTCAGTCTACCTATTGAAATGCTCATCTCTTCCCAAAACACCCTCGCAGACACACCCAGTCTGGGTGTGAAAAATGGGAGTTGAACAATGAGAACACATGGACACAGGGAGGGGAACATCACACACCAGGGCCTGCCGGGGGGTGGGGGGATAGGGGAGGGAGAGCATTAGGAGAAATACCTAATGTAGATGACAGGTTGATGGGTGCAGCAAACCACCATGGCACATGTATACCTGTGTAACAAACCTGCACGTTTTGCCCATGTACCCCAGAACTTAAAGCATAATAATAATAATAATAAAATCTCACGCACCCTAAATATATACACCTACTATATATCCACACAACATATACATAAATATATACACCTACCATGTACCCACAAAAGATAAAAATTTTAAAACACAAAGAGAAAGGAAACAGTGAAAATCAACAGACAGAGGTAAGAGACAACCTCCTATTCAGTGTTGCCGTGGTTCAGTAGAAAAATCCGTCTCACTTCAGGGCTGGAGAGACCCTCAGGGTCATCCATCATAGCCCACGGAGGTGCCATAAAAAATAATACTCAGGGATCTTCATCTTCAATAAATAAAGACTCTCTTTACCTTTCCGAGGTTGTAAAGAATCTTCAATGGACCGTGCCTTTCTCTTGGAAGTATCTTGGGTCTTCGCTGTCGAATTCCTAGGTCACGGAAGAAATTGTGTGAAAGGTAGAAGGTAAATTTTATTCTGGAATATAGGGTCCAGGAAAGGGGCTGGGGGCCTCATGAATCATCTGAAATTAGGTGCAAAACTTTGCACGTATGAGTATGTCTGCACCATGTCTAGATGGAGGGTTCTGAGCTTTCATCACATGTGGAAAGAGGTCTCAGAAAGCAAGCAAGAAAGAAAGCAAGCAAGAGTGAAAGAGGGGGTAGGGAGGGAAGGAGGAGGATGGGGGAGGAGCGAAAGAAACAGAAAGAAAGAAGGGAAAAAGAAAGAAAAAGAAGAAAGAAGGAAGGAAAGAAAGAAAGAAAGCAAGAAAGAAAGAAAGAGAAAAGAAAAGAAAGAAAGGAAGGAGGGAAGGAGGGAAGGAGGGAAAGAAGGAAGGAAAGAAGGAAAGAAGGAAGGAAGAGACAAAAGAAAAAAGGAAGGAAGGTAAAGAAAAAGAGAAAAGGAAAGAAGGAAGGAAAAGAGGAAACAAAAAAGGAAGGAAGGAAAGAAGGAAAAGCAAAAGAGGAAGGAAAAGAAAAGGAAGGAAGGAAAGAAAAGGAAAAGAGGGAAGGAAGGAAGAGAGGAAACATAAAAGGAAGGAAGGAAAGAAGGAAAAGAAAAAGAGGGAAGGAAGGAAAAGAGGAAACATAAAAGGAAGGAAGGAAAGAAGGAAAATAAGAGGAAGGAAGGAAGGAAAGAAGGAGTGAAGGAGGGAGGGAGGGAAGGAGGAAGGGAGGGAAGGAAGGAAGGAAGGAGCGAGAGAAGGAAGGAAGGAGCGAGAGAAGGAAGGAAGGACAGAGCAAGAGAAGGAAGGAAGGAGCGAGAGAAGGAAGGAAGGACAGAGCAAGAGAAGGAAGGAAGGAGCGAGAGAAGGAAGGAAGGAGCGAGAGAAGGAAGGAAGGACAGAGCAAGAGAAGGAAGGAAGGAGCGAGAGAAGGAAGGAAGGAGCGAGAGAAGGAAGGAAGGACAGAGCAAGAGAAGGAAGGAAGGAGCGAGAGAAGGAAGGAAGGAATGAAGGAATGAAGGAAGGAAGGAAGGAAGGGAGGCAAGGAGGGAAGGGAAGGGAAGGAAGGGATGGCGAAAGAAACAGAGAAATAAAAAGAAAGAGAAAATTTGAGGCTTCATAGAGAAGCAAGGGACTCTTGTCTGACCTTGGACCATGGGCTGATGTAAATATGGCTTCTCCCTTTCTTTCTCACAGGCAAATACGGCTGATTTCCCAGATGTTAGATTCCACTTCGGATTAAGGGCTGTTTCCTAGTAGCCTGTTGTGAAAATACAATCCACAGAGTGTAAATGAGCAAATTTTTAGAGTTTTCCTAAAGATCCCTACTTGTTATTTTACTAACAACTCCTGCTCCAAAGCACTGCTTGGCGAATCTCATGAAGTTCAGCTGGATCTGAAAGCAACTGAAATTCCCACAGTTTGGGGAAAAGGGGCTGTTATCAGGGCGTTGTGGGTTTCGTACATAGTCGGGATAGATGCAATTATGGCATCCCGATTACTTGTTATCCATTACAGTTAGTTCAGCATCGTGACTAACGATTGATTTAGTGTTCAGTATGGTATTTGGTTAGCAACACTGTGTGCAGTAAGTTGTAAATACTGCTTTCAGCATGATTTGGGCTAAAAGGATGTAGTCACTGTTTTCCAATTCAAATACAAATCACAAAAATGTGACCTCAGCATGGTGTTGATTTTTGAGAGGATACTTGTCCGAATATATTCCATTGACTGTTGTTTGTGCCTTTACCTTTTTTTTTTTTGAGGTGGAGTTTCCCTCTTGTTGCCCAGGCTGGAGTACGGTGGCGCCATCCTGGCTCACTGCAACCTCTGCCTCCCGGGTTCAAGCCATTCTCCTGCCTCAGCCGCCCGAGTAGCTGGAATTACAGGCATGCACTACCACAGCTGGCTAATTTTTTTGTCTCAAAAAAATATAATAATTATTAGGGAATTGTTTATTCTGTAATATTATTATTTATGTAAGTAATTTGTGAACATATCCAACTTTGAAATGTGTAATATTATATAAAGTTAAGCACCTCTTTTTTTGTCACCAGACAATGTCGTCATTCAGTAGGAAATGCTATTTTGAGATGTGTGTGCATGTGTGTGCGTGTGTACACACACAGTTTGTACACATAGATGTGTATACACTCAAACTGCGCATATGATATGTGTGTCTACAAATACATATTACTAACTCTATACGTCTGTATATATTTTTCTGTACATGTGAGACATATATAACATATATAATTATTAATAAGTGCTTATAGCAACATAGATTGCTTTTGTAAGTTTTGTAGATAAATTGTATCATATGGAGTATTTCGCAACTTGAATTATTTTTACTCCATAATATATTTGCAATCTCAATACGTTGAACAAGTTGACCTGGTTGATTCTGTGGTTCTTCACACATTTCTGTTTAATGATGGTACAGGGAATTGAACACTGACCTCTTACATCATCCTCAAACAGTTTTACTTTTACTGTTGTAGAATACATTGTTGCAAGCTTTTCTCCCTAAACACTCTTGCACCACACACGAATGTTACTTCATTGGCAGGATGTTGACTAGTTCTTGCCCGATATTTCCATTTCTTTTCTTTTTTTTTTTTTTTTTGAGAGAGAGTCTCGCTCTGTCACCCAGGCTGGAGTGCAGTGGTGCAATCTCAGCTCACTGCAACCTTCGCCTCCCGGGTTCAAGCAATTCTCCTGCCTCAGCCTCCCGAGTAGCTGGGATTACAGGCACCCACCACCATGCCTGGCTAATTTTTGTATTTTTAGTAGAGACGGGGTTTCACCATGTTGGCCAGGATGGTCTCGATCTCCTGATCTCAGGTGATCTGTCCACCTCGGCCTCTCAAAGTACTGGGATTCCAGGCGTGAGCCACCGTGCCTGGCCTCTTGTTTTGTTTTTAATTAGTTTGTGTGATTTTGTTTTACATGCATATCATGTAAACAGAATACAATCAGTCTTTTTTAAAAATATCTTCTCAGCATCATCAATTTAATTCTATTTTTCTTTATTAATCATCAGTACACCTGTGATCCCAGCTACTCAAAAGGCTGAGGCAGGAGAATCGCTTGAACCCAGGAGGTGAAGATTGCAGTGACCCAAGATGGAGCCACTGCACTCCAGCCTGGGTGACAGAGCGAGATTCCATCTCAAAACAAAAGAAAGCACGCTATTGATCTCACTTACCCCACAGAACAGTCCTGACTTCCTTCCTAGCTGCAGGAGGGAAATTGTGGAGAGCAGCCGTCTCCCATCCTTGGAGCTGTTTCCCTAAGTAAATCATGAGGCCACTTTTGCAGGAAATCCACACGCTGCCGGGAAGAGCTGATACAACTAAATTGAGAAAGCTCTTGGCTTCTGGTGACTCACAGCTGACTGACTGTTCCTTCCCCCTGAGCAATGAAGGTGAGTGCGGTGGGTGCTGTCCCGCTGGAATCACACAGTAGTGTCTGCCAGACACAGAGATGGAAGGGCGGATTGCTTCAGGAGCTTCCTGGGGTTCCTGCAAAAAAATGCCATAAATTCGGTGGCTAACACTACAAGAATCTATGCTCTCCCAGTCCTGGAAGCTGGTAGTCTCAGATCAAGGTATCTCAAGGACATGCTCCCTCCAGAGACTCTAGGGGAGGGTCCTTTCTGCCTCTGCCAGCTCCTGGGGGCTCCAGGTGTCCCTGGGCTTGTGGGTGCGTCACTTTAGTCTCTGCCTCTGTCTCCACATGGCCTTCTCCTCTGTGTCTGTCTCCTTTCTGTCTCTTAGAAGGACATCTGTCATTGATTTAGGGACCACACAGATAATTCAGGATGATCTCATCTTAAGGTCCTTTATTTAGTTACATCTGCAAACACCCCTTTTTCAAATAAGGTCTCAGTCACAGATTCTGAGGATCAGGACATGGACATACCTTTTTGGGGGATCACAGTTCAATCTACTTCACTTGTATCCAGTTCCCTCCAGAGGCTCTCAGGGAGGGTCCTTCCTGCCTCTCCCAGCTCCTGGGGGCTCCAGGTGTCCCTGTGCTTGTGGCCACATCACTCCAGTCTCTGCCTCCATCTCCATGCGGCCTTACCCTCTGTGTCTGTTCTCCTCCTCTGTCTGTTATAGAGACAGCAATGATTGGATTCATGGTCCATCTAATGCAGGATGATCTCATCTTAAAATATTTTACTACTTGCATCTGCAAGGATCTTATTTCAAAGTAAGCTCCCATTCACAAGTTCTGGGGGTGAGGGTGTGGACATATCTTTCTGGTGGACAATAGTTGAATTCATTACAATTTCATTTAGCCTTCTCTAGAGGCTCTAGGGGAGGGTCCTTCCTGCCTCTCCCAGCTCCTGGGGGCTCCAGGCATCCCTGGGCTTGTGGCCGCATCACTCCAGTCTCTGCCTCCGTCTCCATGTGGCCTCATCCTCTGTGTCTCCTCTTCTGTCTTTTAGAAGGACATCTGTCGTTGTATTTAGGACCCACCCTAATCCAGGATGATCTCATCTTAAGTTAGTTTCACCTGCAAAAAAAAAAAAAAAATTGTTTCCAAACAGGGTTTCACTCGTAGGTACTGGGACTCAGGATTTGCACCCCTTCTGTTTGCCACGATCCTTTATCTCTTCAGCATCCAGCAGCCTGCTGCACACTGCTGTGGACTAATAAAGGCATGAGGGAGACGATCGGAGAAAGAGAATACGGCAGAAGTGTGAGTCAGACTCCGGGGGCGATGGAACGGTGGAGATGCAGAAATGCAAATTTGCAAATTCGTGTACCCATTTGCTTTGCCCTGGAGCCCAGCGCAGAGCTGGGGAAGGCAGCTCCGCGGAAGGCAGAGCCCTGCTCTGCCTGGGGTGAGCTCATGGAAGCATTCCAGAAAACAGTGATTAGGCACCTACTGTGTATCAGGCACCATGGAGGTCCTCAGAACGCAAGAGTGAGCCAAGTGCGTCCACAGGCTGAGAAGGTAGATGATGGCAAAGGGCGTCAACACCTCTGGGCTGGGGACAGGCTTAAAATTGGGGAAGAGACTCAGGGGGCCTTGAGCATCATCTGGTATCACACAGGCACCCTAGAGAGAGAAGGTGAGTTGGAGATGTTTCTCATTTAGAAAAATAAACTGAGGTCTCTCGGCCAGCACGCATTTAATTTTACATAAACATGTTCCATCATAAATCTAACTGATTTTCAACATGAACGTAAAATATAAAACCTGCTCTAGGATTTATTTCTAAAAAGACGTTACATCAGAATCGCCTGAATCATCAGACTCATCTGGTTTGGAAAAATTGGATTCATCCAACAAACCTTCAGCCAACAACTGTTGTAGAACGATGTTAATATCACATGCGGCAATGATATGTTTTCTAGGATTCGACATTTTCAGCGATCGAGAATGATTATATTTCAAATGGAAATACCACTATTAAGACAGAATGGTATAAATAGGATGACGTCTTCCGTTTCCAAAGTTGACATATTAGAATGATGAGAAAATAATCATAAAAATGAGATACTGAGGCTGAGCACGGTGGTCATCCCAGCACTTTGGGAAGCCGAGGTGGACGGATCACCTGAGGTCAGGAGTTCAAGACCAGCCTGGCCAAGACGGTGAAACCCCATCTCTACTAAAAATACAAAAATTAGCCCGACGTGGTGGCGGGCGCCTGTAATCCCAGCTACTCGGAAGGCTGAGGCAGGTGAATTGCTTGAACCCAGGAGGCGGAGGTTGCAGTGAGCCGAGATCACAACCATTGCACTCCAGCCTGGGTGACAGAGCGAGGATCCATCTCAAAAAAAACAAAAGATACGTGTGGCAGTGTTATCTCAGAGTAAATGCTGCTGCCACAAGTACAGCCCGTGAGTATTCTCGGGGCAAACAGGAAGAGGGTTGAAGCTAGAGAGACACTCGCTCTTCCCACCACCTCTTAATGTCCTATTTGTGCTTCAAGGACACTCGGTCCCTTGTTGTTATATCCATAAATCCCTTCTCCTCCCAGCCCAGCAGTGAGGGCCCCATTGCCCATTACCTATCTATAGGGAACCAGCCCTGCAGGCATGCAGAGACCCCTGAGACAGTCTTCCTCATGTCCCCTCATCATAGCCCCAAAAGCTAACACCCAGGGATGGGCTGTAACCCGCTTGAGGTTAGAAGGTCACTGACGTTACAGGAGTCCGCACTGACACCCAGGGGCCCTGACTCCTGGCACGCTGGATATTGTTGAGAGGCAGAGGCTGCTCTGGGACACACCTGTTCTTACCTGGTCCCCAGGATCCGGGTCTTTTGAACAGGGCTGCTTTGCACGATACCCTCAGGTACCTGCCTCCCAGGGCTCTGTCCTTCTCAGATGGCTCAGGGCTGTGGTTCCTGGGAAAAGCTTCGGGATGAGGTTTCCTGCCATGTTTCCCCATGGGTCAGAATAATGTCATATTGATTGTGGAAATCAGCAGCACTGCTTACTTTTTTTTTTTTTTTCAGGCGGAGTCTCGCTCTGTCACCGAGGCTGGAGTGCAGTGGTGCAATCTCTGCTCACTGCAACCTCTGCCTCCTGGGTTCAAGTGATTCTCCTGACTCAGCCTCCCGAGTAGCTGGGACTATGGGCTCCCACCACCACGGCCAGATAATTTTTGTATTTTTAGTAGAAATGGGGTTTTGCCAAGTTGGCCAGGCTGGTCTCGAACTGCTGACCTCAGGTGATCCGCCCACCCCAGCTAATTTTTGTATTTTTAGTAGACACGGGGTTTCACCATGTTGGCCAGGCTGGTCTCGAACTCCTGACCTCGTGATCCGCCCGCCTTGGCCTCCCAAAGTGCTGGAATTACAGGCTTGAGCCACCGCACCTGTCCTAGGTATGTTCGTTTAACAATACCGTAGGGTATACTTAAATATTTGTTAGGCTCAATTCCTGGTGGCTTAGTCATTCTGCCCTGGGGATTGTCCTTGCTTCACACTGGTTCCAGAAACTCCTCACGGCCCCCACAATGAATTCCTGGTGGCTTAGTCATTCTGCCCTGGGGATTGTCCTTGCTTCACACTGGTTCCAGAAACTTCTCACCGTCCCCACAATGAATTCCTGGTGGCTTAGTCATTCTGCCCTGGGGATTGTCCTTGCTTCACACTGGTTCCAGAAACTTCTCACCGTCCCCACAATGAATTCCTGGTGGCTTAGTCATTCTGCCCTGGGGATTGTCCTTGCTTCACACTGGTTCCAGAAACTTCTCATCACCCCCACAATGAATTCCTGGTGGCTTAGTCATTCTGCCCTGGGGATTGTCCTTGCTTCACACTGGTTCCAGAAACTCCTCACGGCCCCCACAATGAATTCCTGGTGGCTTAGTCATTCTGCCCTGGGGATTGTCCTTGCTTCACACTGGTTCCAGAAACTTCTCACCGTCCCCACAATGAATTCCTGGTGGCTTAGTCATTCTGCCCTGGGGATTGTCCTTGCTTCACACTGGTTCCAGAAACTTCTCATCACCCCCACAATGAATTCCTGGTGGCTTAGTCATTCTGCCCTGGGGATTGTCCTTGCTTCACACTGGTTCCAGAAACTTCTCACCGTCCCCACAATGAATTCCTGGTGGCTTAGTCATTCTGCCCTGGGGATTGTCCTTGCTTCACACTGGTTCCAGAAACTTCTCATCACCCCCACAATGAATTCCTGGTGGCTTAGTCATTCTGCCCTGGGGATTGTCCTTGCTTCACACTGGTTCCAGAAACTTCTCATCACCCCCACAATGAATTCCTGGTGGCTTAGTCATTCTGCCCTGGGGATTGTCCTTGCTTCACACTGGTTCCAGAAACTTCTCACCGTCCCCACAATGAATTCCTGGTGGCTTAGTCATTCTGCCCTGGGGATTGTCCTTGCTTCACGCTGGTTCCAGAAACTTCTCATCGTCCCCACAAAGGGAGCAGATTACGTACAGCACGTGGTGGTTGACTCCGCAATGACACTCAGGTTTAGACGAATGAGGACAGCTTATCTCCTTATCGTCCCACTCCTCACTCCGGTTATCTGTACCCTTCTGTCTTTATATCCAGCTTTGCCTGTGCTGAGAAGCAGCCTCTCAAGGCCAGAAGTAAGAATAGTCTGATTCTGACTTGCTGACAAATTGCTGGTTCTTGGAATTGTGTGGCAGGTGTATTTGCCAAACCACTTACAAAAAAAAGTTAGGGTGGATTTTATGTTATGTGATTTTTACCACATTAATAATAATTATTAATAAAGCCTTTAGTGACTTCCTTATAAATCTCCCTTTTTTTTTTTTTTTTTTTTTTAAGACAGAGTCTCACTCTGTCACCCAGGCTGGAGTGCAGTGGCACAATATCGGCTCACTGCAAGCTCCGCCTCCCAGGTTCACGCCATTCTCCTGCCTCGGCCTCCCAAGTAGCTGGGACTACAGGCGCCCGCCACCACGCCCGGCTGATTTTTTGTATTTTTAGTAGAGATGGGGTTTCACCGTGTTAGCCAGGATGGTCTCGACCTCCTGACCTCGTGATCCGCCCGCCTAGGTCTCCGAAAGTGGTGGGATTACAGGCGTGAGCCACCGCGCCCAGCCGTAAATCTCTTATATGAACTGTGAACAAACATCACCTAGGAGATGGGAAAAGACCCATCTCCCTTCAATATGCAGCCGTACAATCATAGAGAGGAGGCCCTGTTTCTGTTCCATTCATTCGGTTTTCATTTTATTGTATTAATCTTTATTTATTTTTGAGACAGGGTGTTGTTGCAGTTTCGCCCAGGCTGGAGTCATCCTCCTGCCTCAGCCTCCCAAGTAGCTAGGACTACAGACATGGGCCACCCGTGCCTGCCTGGCTAAATCGTTTTTGGATGTTTTCCCTCTCAGAGGTCCAGACACCAACTAACTTGGAAATCTAGGGCTCCAGGATGGGTGACGTGTGTTATTCTATTTTGCATCGAAAAGAGGCTGTCTCTTTGTTTGTTTGTTTTGAAACACAGTCTCACTCTGTTGCCCAGACTGGAGTGCAGTGGCATGATCTCAGCTCACTGCAACCTCCACCTCCCGGGTTCAAGCCATTCCCTTGCCTCAGCCTCCCGAGTAGCTGGGATTACAGGTGCCCACCACCCTGCCCAGGAAATGCTATTTTGAGATGTGTGTGTATGTGTGTGTCTATGTGTGTGTGTGTGTGTGTGTGTACAAACTGTGTTTGTACATGTAGATGTGTATATACTCAAACTGTGCATATGATATGTGTGTCTATAAATACATATTACTAACTCTATACGTCTGTATATATTTTTCTGTACATGTGAGACATATATAATATATATAATTATTAATAAGTGCTTATAGCAACATAGATTGCTTTTGTAAGTTTTGTAGATAAATTGTATCATACGGAGTATTTCACAACTTGAATTATTTTTACTCCATAATTTTTACACCATGCCGAGGTAGTTTTTTTGTATTTTTAGTAGAAATGGGGTTTCCCCATGTTGCCCAGGCTGTTCTCAAACCCCTGACCTCAAGCGATCCACCCACCTCAGCCTCCCAAAGTGCTGGGATTCCAGACGTGAGCCACCCCGCCTGGTTCATTGTGTTTTCAAAAACCCTCCAACCTGTTGCTAATGACATTGTTGATGAAATACAATCGCTCAAATTATCCAAAATTATTTTCAACAGGGACACACTAGGAAAACACAGCTGTATTTACTTTCAGCATCTGCATTTATGCATTTCCCACCAAAAATCACATGATTACAGTCAGCACGCAACGCAACGATGTCAATTGTGCCGGGCTGTGGGATTGGGTGCACTGAGAATAGTGCAGTCAGTTGGAGTTGAGTCCTTCTGGCCCCTTCGGAACAGCACTGGAGAGAAGAAACATCACCAGGCTAAAATAAATACTTGGAGAGTCCAAAAGAAGGTGCATTTTGGACGGCTATATTTTTAACACGTTTTTGAAAACTCACGCATGTAACAGAGTCTCAGGTGATCTGCCCTTGTGGTTCACACTTTTATCTCCTGTCACTTGAACCTGGGAGGCGGAGGCTGCAGTGAGCCGAGGTTGTGCCACTGCACTCCAGCCTGGGTGACAGAGAGAGACTCTGTCTCAAAAACAAATAAATAAAACGAGAATGAATGGTTTCTAGGGCATGACTTTCCAGCTCCCTTAGATAGGCATTTGGGCAAGATTAAAGAAAAAAAAAAAGACAGAGCTTCGTCCTCACGTTAATGTGACCCTTCCATCAGATTGATGAAAAGTAATGGCGGTTTTTGCCATTGCTTTTGTGAACCCTGAAAACGTCAGACAGGTGGCGGTAAGTTTAGAAAGTTTATTTTTTCAGGGTTGACGACGGGCACCTGTGACACACCCTCAGGAGGTCCCGATGACATGTACCCAAGGTGGTTGGGGCAAAACTTGGTTTTATACATTTTAGAAAGGCATGAGACATCAATCAACATATGTAAGAAGTACATTGGTTCAGTCTGGGAAGGTGGGACGAGTTCAAACAAAGGCAGGAAGACTCTAAGCGGGAAGGGGGTTTCCAGATCACAGATAGATAAGAGACAAATGGCTGCGTTATTTTGAGTTTCTGATGAGCGTTTCTAAAGGAGGCAATCAGATTTGCATCTATCTGAGTGAGCAGAGGGGCAACTTTGAATAAAGTGGGAGGCAGGTTGGCCCTAAGCAGCTCCCAGCTTGAATGGAGACTGGAAGCAGGGAGGGGGATTCCAGGTCCAGAGAGATGAATGACTACATTCTTATATATATATTATATATTTAGTGTGTGTATATATATATTTTATATATATATATATATATAAGTTCTAGGGTACATGTGCACAACGTGCAGGTTTGTTACATAGGTATACATGTGCCATGTTGGTTTGCTGCACCCATTAACTCGTCATTTACATTAGGTATATCTCCTAATGCTCTCCCTCCCCCATCCCCCCCCCCCCAACGACAGGCCCCGGTGTGTGATGTTCCCCACTCTGTGTCCAAGTGTTCTCATTGTTCAATTCCCATCTATGAGTGAGAACGTGCAGTGTTTGGTTTTCTGTCCTTGCGATAGTTTGCTCAGAAAGATGGTTTCCAGCTTCATCCATGTCGGTACAAAGGACATGAATTCATCCTTTTTTATGGCTGCATAGTATTCCATGGTGTCTATGTGCCACGTTTTCTTAATCCATTCTATCATTGATGGACATTTGGGTTGGTTCCAAGTCTTTGCTATTGTGGACAGTGCCGCAATAAACATACATGTGCATGTCTCTGTATAGTAGCATGATTTATAATCCTTTGGGTATATACCCAGTCATGGGATGGCTGGGTCAAATGGTATTTCTGGTTCTAGATCCTTGAGGAATGGCCACACTGTCTTCCACAATGGTTGAACTAGTTTACACTCCCACCAACAGTGCAAAAGCGTTCCTATTTCTCCACATCCTCTCCAGCACCTGTTGTTTCCTGACTTTTTAGTGATCGCCTGAATGGCTACATTCTTTTGAGTGTCTGATGACCCTTTCCAAAGGAGGCAACTAGATATGGCATCTGTCTCAGTGAGCACAGGGGTAACTTTGAATAAAATGGGAGGCAGGTTGGCCGTAAGCAGCTCCCAGCTTGAAGGGGCCCAAAGTACTTTCCTTTCACCCCTTTTAATGGGAAAAACTGCAGTGACTGTTGCACCAACCCAGTACATGTGGCGAATTAGCCTGCATGAGACCCATGGACGATGAGACTCTTTGAAAATAAGAATTTATGGGCTGGGCACGGTGGCTCATGCCTGTAATCCCAGCACTTTGGGAACCCGAGGCGGGTGGATCACCTGAGGTCAGGAGTTCGAGAACAGCTGGCCAACGTGGAGAAACCCCGTCTCTACTGAAAAACACGGGGTTTTGATTGTGAGGTCTCCCCAGCCATGTGGAACTGTGAGTCCATTAAACTGTTTTTTCTTTCTTTATAAATTAACCAGTCTTTATTATAAATTATTATATATAAAAAATTATTATATATAAAAAATTATAAATTTTTTCTTTCTTTATAAATTAACTAATCTTTATTAGCAGTGCGAGAACAGACTAATACACCAGGTAAGTATGTAGAGAATTATCCATGAATCCTTATATCCCGAAATAATTACTGCGTGCCCCCAACCCTGAGAAAACCAGCAGCTTGCTAAGAGCCTCCGTCTCTCTGTCTCTGCCTCCCTCTCTGTCTCTCTGTCTCTGCCTCCCTCTCTGCCTCTCTGTCTCTGTCTCCCTCTGTGTCTCTCTGTCTCTGTGTCTCTGTACTTTTTTTTTTTTTTTAGACAGAGTCTTGCTCTGTCACCCAGGCTGGAGTGCAGTGGCATGATCTCAGCTCACTGCAACCTCTGCCTCCTGGGCTCCAGCAATTGTCCTGCCTCAGCCTCCCAAGTAGCTGGGACTACAGGCGTACAACACCACGTCTGGCTAATTTTTGTGATTTTTTTATTTTTCATTTTTGAGATGGAGTCTCGCTCTGTCACCCAGGCTAGAGTGCAGTGGCACAATCTCAGCTCACTGCAAGCTCCGCCTCCCTGGTTTAAGCCATTTTCCTACCTCAGCCTCCCGAGTAGCTTGGACTACAGGTGCCCGCCACCATGCCCAGCTAATTTTTTTTTTTTTTTTTTTTGTATTTTTAGTAGAGACAGGGTTTCACCGTGTTAGCCAGGATGGTATCGATCTCCTGACCTTGTGATCTGCCTGCGTCGGCCTCCCAAAGTGCTGGGATTACAGGCGTGAGCCACCGCGCCCAACCAATTTCTGTGATTTTAGTAGAGACGGGGTTTCACCATGTTGGCCAGGCTGGTCTCAAACTCCTAACCTCAAATGATCCACCCACCTCGGCCTCCCAAAGTGCTGGGATTACAGGAGTGAGCCACCGTGCCCAGCCAAGACCTCATATTTTATGGGGACAGCACAACAGACCCTAACTATCCTTCAGAGTTCCACTCTGCGTCCAGGAATACGTAGTGATGACAAGCTTGGGCACCTGCCTGAGCGCCAGAGACTTGGAACTCCATTAATTCCAGACCGCTTTGTGCTCTAAAATTCAGAATCCAATGGCAAAACCATCATCACTGCCAGAAAGACACCTGGTGGAGTCATAAGCCTCACACTCATTTTTCTCCTCCTCTCATTTCTATTCATAGATCATCCCCAGGGTGGGATTGAAATCCACATTCTCCACAATCTGGATTTTTTCCAAGTCATCATTTATTAGCAGCATCTTGTGAAATCTCCTCCTAAGAAAGCAGATACGGTAAGAGTCACAATCTCTTAACGAATTTATCTGTAAGTCTCCGAGGAGTTCATTTTCTCCCTTTGCCTCTGATCCGGTTCATATGGCGCAATCATCTTGTCCGCTGTGTGGCCATTCGAGCCGTCCACAGGAAGGGGCAGCTAAGTTCATTTAACTGTGACTCCCCGTTAAGGCTGCAGTAGCCCCATGTGCTCTGGTCCCGGCCAAGGCGTGGCGAGCTACCGCCCCATGCCCGCCGGACACAGAAGGAAAATCAAGCAGGGGAGGTGCCTGTCTGATGGTGGCGGCTCCTTCCTCACGGCCACTGCCCTCCTACCAGCCCGGTTCAGCCTGTCCTCCCCTCTCCTACTGCTTCTCTCTCATCCCTTTCCCTGTCTCTTTCTGTGTCTTCCTTCTCTCTCTCTTTTCTCTGTCTCTCTGTCTCTCTCTCTCTTTCTCCCCTGCTCCCAGTCTCTCTCTCTGTCTCCTTCCCTCTCAGTCCCTCTCTGTCTCCCTGTCTGCCTCGGTCTCTCTGTCTATGTCCCCCCTCTGTCTCTGTCACTGCCTCTGTCTCTCTGTCTCTGTCCCCTCTCTGCCTGTCTCTATCTCTGTCTCTCTCTCTGTCTCTGTCTCTCTTCTCTGCCTCCCTCTGTCTCTCTGCCTCTCTCTGTCTCTCTCTCTGCCTCTGTCTCTCTCTCTGCTTCTCTCTGTCTCTGCCTCCCTGTCTCTCTGCTTGTCTCTCTGTCTCTGTCTCCCTCTCTGCCTGTCTCTGTCTGTCCCTATCTCTGTCACTCTGTCTCTGTCTCCCTGTCTCTCTGTCTCTGCCTCCCTGTCTCTCTGCATGTCTCTCTGTCTCTGTCTCCCTCTCTGTCTCTCTGTCTCTCCCTCTCTGTCTCTGCCTCCCTCTCTGTCTCTCTTTTTCCTGCTGCAATTTCACATTCTCCACGAGTCACTGGCGTCCTGGACTTCCCATGAGAGAATGTCTGAGGCCGGCAGAATGAAATGCTGGGACGGACACAGCTTCATCCGTGCCTAACGAACAGCTGTCAGCGTCGCGCTGAAATCCTCCCGTGTCCGTGCCGGCTGCATTTGAGTCCCATCATTTCCTCGAGCAAATATTAAAGAATCAAGATTGCATTGTATCATCGCTGCGTGCCTTTTCTCTGAACGTCTGAGATTGTGACTAGAGGCATTTGAATACAAGGATGACTGCTGGCAGAGGGGTACATCACAGGTCATCTCATGATTTGGCAGCATTCAGTCACGTATCCTTGATTGCTAAGTGACCAGAGGCTGGGCTGGGCTGGCTTTTAAATGGTGGTCATTTTTGAGTTATTACTGGAAGCTGAAGGATTTGGTTTAAATAGGCAGCTGCTTTAAAATAGATTTGTTTCAGAGAAACCCCAATAGAATTCATTTAACGTTTCCATCAAATGATCATAGTCATTACCCGAATGATTGTAATTCTCCCGGGAAAGCTGTTCCTTTTTCTTCTGGAAAATCAGAATATACCAAAATGGTCAGTACCTTGCTATTTTCGTGGCAATGACTAAAACCTGGACTGATGTTGCTAACCCTTTATTTTTCCATGATTACGATTTCCATCATTAGGTACCTGTCTTACCTCCCTACACACACAGGTGCATGCAGGCATATGCACGCACAGACACACAAATACATGTGTACACACACACACAGACACACACAAAGATACACAGAGACACACACATAGACACACACACGTGTACACACAGACACAGACACACACACATATGTACACATACAGACACACACAGACACATACAGACACACACAGACACACAGACACAAACATACACAGACAGACACACACAGACACAGACACACACAAAGACACACACACAAACACACATACACAGACACACAAAGACACACACAAACACACAGAGACACATACAGACACAAAGACACACACAGACACACACAAACACACACAGACACAGACACATACAGAGACACACACACAAACACACAGACATAGACACACAAAGACACACACACACACACAGACACACACACAGGCACACACACACACACAGACACACACACAGTGTCTCAGTTCTACAGAATCCAGAAATCACCCTCTTGTCTTCTGTTTAACCAAAGTCAACAAGTAAACATGATTTCCTATGTCCTCTGTTTCTTTTTATTTTTCGTTTTTTTTTTGAGGTGGAGTTTCACTCTTGTTGCCCAGGCTGGAGTGCAGTGGCTGGATCTCGGCTCACTGCAACCTCTGCCTCCCGGGTTCAAGCAATCCTCCTGCCTCAGCCTCCCCAGTAGCTGGGATTACAGGCACCCGCCACCACGCCTGGCTAATTTTTGTATTTTTAGTAGAGACGGGGTTTCACCATGTTGGTCATGCTGGTCCCAAACTCCTGACCTCAGGTGATCCACCTGCCTCAGCCTCCCAAAGTGCTGGGATTACAGGCATGAGCCACTGCGCCCGGCCTGTCCTCTGTTTCTTTAAATGAAAAGAAAGATGATAGCTAAGAGAGTGTGTTCACGTTGCATTGATTTATATGATTCTCATCACCTTGAGTATATATTATCCTGATAAGACAATTATCATAATTCCTTGTATTACTATTCTCACACTGCCGTAACAAAATATCAGAGACTGGGAGGGTTAAACAGCAGACATTGATTCTCCCACAGTCCTGGAGGCTGGAAGTCCGAGATCAAGATGTGAGCTGGGCTGATTCCTCCTGAGGCCACTCTCCTTGGCTTGTAGATGACGTCTTCTCCTGTGTCTTCAAAGGGTCGCCCCTTTATGTGTGTCTGTGTCCTCGTCTCCTTTTCTTATGAGGTGTCTTAGTCCATCTCAGGCTGCTATCACAGAATACCATAGACTGGGTGGCTTAGAAACAACAGACATTGATTCTCCCACAGCCCTGGAGGCTGGACGTCCAAGATCAAGGTGTGGGCAGGGCTGGTTCCTCCTGAGGCCTCTCTCCTGGGCTTGGAGATGCCGTCTTCTCCCTGTGCCCTCACAGGGTCGTCCCTCTGTGTGTGTCTGTGTCCCCATCTCCTCTCCTTATGAGATGGCTTAGTCCATCTCAGGCTGCTGTCACAGAATACCAGAGGCTGGGTGGCTTATAAACAGCAGACATTGATTCTCCCACAGTCCTGGAGGCTGGAAGTCTGAGATCCAGGTGTGGGCAGGGCTGGTTCCTCCTGAGGCCTCTCTCCTGGGCTTGGAGACACCATCTTCTCCCTGTGTCCTCACAGGGTCTCCCCTCTGTGTGTGTCTGTGTCCTCATGTCCTCTTCTTATAAGGACCCCAGTCCTATTGGATAAGGGCCCACCCTACTGACCTCATTTTACCTTAATCCCCTCTTTAAACACCCCAACTCCAAACACAGTCACATCTTGAGGTCCTGGGGGTCAGGGGTTCAACCTAGGAATTTAGTGAGACACAGTTCCGTTCATAATACTCATCTTTTCCCGAGAAAGGAAAAACTTCCAAAGATGAAAATGACTTCTGCAAGGACACACAACCCAGGCGGGCCTGGCGTTGAAAGCCAGGTCCAAGAAGCTGACCAGCTTCAAGGTCAATGACTTCCTCTTGCGCTGGAAAGGATTCCTGTCAAGCCACCTCTTTCCTGAGCAAAGAGCTTGGAAATCCACATGTGGAAATTGCATTTTTATTACAGACTCTCCACCAGGGTGTAGATGTCCAATGAGAATGCAAAAGCATGGTCTGCCGTTATCATCAATCCAGCCTCGGCTGTCTTGGAATTCACGCCGTGCCTCTGGGCCACGCATTGGCTTATGTATCCAGCAATTCTTTATGGAATGCCTACTTGAGCTAGGCGCAGGGGCGCTGAAGGTGACTAAACTAGGTGGTTCAGGGAGACACACTGGGAAGAAAGGGAATGGATTAACCGTAGGTACCCAAGTCATTGAGGTTTCAGCATCTCCTGCAGAGGAATCAAGGGGACACTGAATGCATAAAAACAGACGATAATCGGCCGGGCGTGATGGCTCACGCCTGTCCTCCCGGCACTTTGGGAGGCTGAGGCGGTCAGTCAGATCACCTGAGGTCAGGAGTTTGAGACCAGCCTGGCCAACATGGTGAAACCCTGTCTCTACCAAAAATACAAATGTCAGCCGGGCGTGGTGGTGGGCGCCTGTAATCCCACCTACTCGGGAGGCTGAGGCAGGAGAATCGCTTGAACCCTGGAGGCAGAGGTTGTGGTGACTTGAGATAGCCCATTGCACTCCAGCCTGGCAACAGAGCGAGACTCCGTCTAAAACACAAAACAAAACAAAAACTCACGAAAAAAACAACAAAGAACAAGAACAAAAACAAATGGTAAATGTAGGTACCCAAGTCATTGAGGTTTCAGCATGTCCTGCAGAGGAATCAGGGAGATCCCAGATGCTTGAAAACAGAGGATAATTAATAAATAGGCTACGTATCATGTCCCTGGGCACTCAGCCACAATGCACCTGCTTTCATCTATGCATTGGGTTATCACACCTGACTGTCAGGAGTGCTGGATTGTGGGCTATGAGAATTGATCCCCAGCGAGGCACGAGTCAAATCCAACCTCTGACTCATCAACCCTATTCCAGCATGTTCTCACTGAGCCTGATTATGCCAGGTGAGGCCAGAGGGTAGAGAGAAAAAGGTGAGCCCTTCTGATGCAGGGCAGGTGAGCCCCTACATCAGGGTAACCTAAGAGGGTTCTTAGCTTTGCCCAGAAAAGAATTCAAGGGCGAGCCGGTGGTGTTAGACAGCAACTTTTTTTTTTTTTGAGATGGGGTCTCACTCTATCATCCAGGCTGGAGTGCAGTAGCGCAATTATTTATTAATTATCCTCTGTTGTTGCCCAGGCTGGAGTGCAGTGGCGTGATCTCAGCTCACTGCAGCCTCCACTTCCCGGGTTCAAGCAATTCTCCTGCCTCAGCCTCACGATTAACTGGATCTACAGGCACGCACCACCACGCCCAGCTAATTTTCGTATTTTTAGTAGAGACGGGGTTTCACCATGTTGGCCAGGCTGGTCTCGAACTCCCGACCTCAAGTGATTTGCCCGCCTCGGCCTCCCAAAGTGCTGCGATTACTGGCCTTAGCCACCGCGCTGGGCCTACACAGCAGGTTTTATTGAAGCATCCTGGCCGTGCACAGCAGCGGCAAACGCTTGGATCCTTCCAGAGCGGGGCTACCCCGTAGGCAATGCACCTGGAGCAGAAGCTTAGAGGCAGTTCTACAGGCATATTGATACCCACTGCTAATTACATGCAAATGAAGGGGCGGTGATGCAGAAATTTCTAGAAAAAGGGCGGTAACGTCCGGATCATTGGATTGTTGCCATGGCAACGGTAAACTGACATGGCACACTGGTGGGTGTGTCTGACACAGAGGTGCTTCTGCCCTGTACCTGTTTTAGTTAGTCCTACCTCACTCTTTTTTTTTTCTGAGATAGAGTCTGGCTCTGTCACCCAGGCTGGAGTGCAGTGGCACGATCACACCTCACTGCAGCCTCAACCTCCTGGGCTCAAGCGAGTCTCCCGTCTCAGCCTCCCGATGAACTGGGACTATAGGCGTGCGCCACCACGACCAGATAATTTTTGTATTTTTAGTAGAGATGGGGTTTTGCCATGTTGGCTGAAGGGGGCCAGCCCCTCCACCCCTGTGGGTATTTCTCATCAGGTGGACACAAGAGACTGAGAAAAGACATAAGACACAGAGACAAAGTATAGAGAAAGAATAGTGAGTCCAGGGGACCGGCACACTCAGCATGTGAGGTCCTGCACCAGCGCTGGTCTCTGAGTTCCGTCAGTATTTATTGATAACTATTTTCACTATCTTGGCAAGGGGAGTGTGGCAGGAGAATAGGGTGATGGTGGGGAGAATGTCAGCAGGAAGACATGTGAGGAAAGGAATCTGCATCATAAATAAGTTCAAGGGAAGGTACTGTGCCCGGATGTGCACGTAGGCTAGAGTTATGTTTCTCTTTACCCAAACATCTCAGTGTAGCGAAGAGTAACAGAGTAGGATTGCTGCCAGCATAGCTCGCCTCCAGCCACAGGGCAGTTTTCTCCTATCAGAATAGAAGGAATGGTCGGCTTTACATGGAGACATTCCATTCCCGGGGACATGCGGGAAATAGAGGCCTTCCTCTTATCTCAACTGCAAAGAGACCTCCCTCGTTTACCAATCCTCCTCAGCACAGACCCTTTATGGGTGTCGGGCTGGGGGATGGTCAGGTCTTTCCCTCTCCATGAGGCCATATCTCAGGCTGTCTCAGTGGGGGGAAACCTCGGACAATACCCAGGCTTTCTCGGGCAGAGGTCCCTGCGGCTTTCCGCAGTGCATGGTGTCCCTGGTTAATGGAGAATGGAGAATGGCGATGACTTTTACCAAGCAGGCTGCCTGCAAATCTATTGTTAACAAGACACAGCACATGTTTCTGTGAGCACACGGTTAAGGCTGAAGTTACAGGTTAACAGCATCTCAAAGCAGAACAATTTTTCTTAGTACAGATCAAAATGGAGTTTCTTATGTCTTCCTTTTTCTACACACACATAGTAACAGTCTGATCTCTCTTTTTTTTCCCCACAGCTGGCCAGGCTGGTCTCGGACTCCTGACCTCAGGTGATCCACCCACCTCGGCCTCCCAAAGTGCTGGGATTTACAGGTGCGAGCCACCACGCCCGGCCGCTCTTCCTCATTTCTATTGAATTGATTTCTGTAAATGTTCAAGAGCATTTCACAAATAAAGTATTTTGGAGTCTTGCTCTGTCGCCAGGCTGGAGTGCAGTGGCATGATCTCAGCTTACTGCAAGTTCCGCCTCTCGGGTTCAAGCGATTCTCCTGCCTCAGCCTCCCAAGTAGGTGGGACTACAGGTGTGCACCATGACGCCGAGCTAATTTTTTTTTTTTTTTTTTGTATTTTAGTAGAGACGGGGTTTCACCATGTTGGCCAGGATGGTCTCAATCTCCTGACCTCGTGATCCACCCACCTCAGCCACCCAAAGTGCTGGGATTGCAGGCGTGAGCCACCCGTGCCCTGCCCCTATTGGCTTATTTATTTAATTTTGTGCTGACACAGGAAGGCTGCTGGAGATTAAATATTCACTCTCCACTGTGGCTTTGAGGAATATAAAATTTCCGTTTTCACCCCATTTGCTATTTTCTGCCTTAAATTCACACTTGAATTTGCCTAAGGTCTTTACATATAGAGTGTCCAGTAGGTCATGTACAGTGAAGGTTTGGTCTTTCACTCAACTGAAGTGTATTCTTATTGTTGTGATTGTTCTTTGAATGGCATACTTTGACACATTTGCAATAACTATGTTAAAAGCATGTTTGGGGCAGGGCGTGGTGGCTCATGCCTGTAATCCCAGCACTTTGGGAGGCCGAGGCGGGCAGATCACGAGGTCAGGAGTTCGAGACCAGCCTGACCAACATGGTGAAACCCCATCTCTACTAAAAATACAAAAATTAATCAGGCGTGGTGGCGGGCACCTATAATCCCAGCTACTCTGGAGGCTGAGTCAGGAGAATTGCTTAAACCCTGGAGGCGGAGGTTGCAGTGAGCTGAGATCGCGCCACTGCACTCCAGCCTGGGCAACAGAGCGAGACTCCACCTCAAAAAAAAAAAAAGTGAACAAATAAACTTGTGTCCTGGTTTCACGGTTACTAGTAGCCTCCAAGGGAGACTCACATTAAACAGTCATGAAACTCAATAAATCAGTTTTGAAAGAATTGATCTTCCTACACTTTTGAATTTTCCAATCTGTCCTATTCATTCGATCTTCATAACTCGGCATTTCCAGTGAGAGCCACTCCAACTTCTGAGCACCCTTCATCTTGGACTCCCAAAAAGTGCTGACATTACAGGCATAAACCACTGTGCCCGGCCTGAAAATGCTATTTTAGTCAGTAGTATAAATTAAATTAAATTAAAATTAAAATCAGGTCCTGTGATTTCTTTTCTTTTTTTTTTCTTTTTTTTTTTTTCAGACGGAGTCTCACTCTGTTGCCCAGGCTGAAGTGCAGTGGCGTGATCTCGGCTCACTGCAAGCTCCACCTCCCGGGTTCACACCATTCTCCTGCCTCAGCCTCCCGAGTAGCTGGGACTACAGGCGCCCGCCACCATACCTCGCTAATTTTTTTGTATTTTTAGTAGAGAAAGGGTTTCACCGTGTTAGCAAGGATGGTCTCGATCTCCTGACCTCGTGAACTGCCTGCCTCGGCCTCCCAGAGTGCTGGGATTACAGGCGTGAGCCACCGTGCCCAGCCTCTTTTTTTTTTTGAGACAGAGCCTTGCTCTGTTGCCCAGGCTGGAGTGCAGTGGTGTGATCTCAGCTCACTGCAACCTCTGCTTTCCGGGTTCAAGCAATTCTCCTGCCTCAGCCTCCCAAGTAGCTGGCATTACAGGTGCCTGCCACCATGCCCAGCTAATTTTTGTATTTTTACTAGAGACAGGGTTTCTCCATGTTGGCCAGGCTGGTCTCAAACTCCTGACCTCGTGATTCACCTGCCTCGACCTCCCAAAGTGCTGGGATTACAGGCATGAACCACCACGCCTGGTCCCTGTGTTTTCTTTATCTGCTGTCTCATCCTGTTTCCCCACAACACAGACATACACACAAAACCTTTGTCACATTCTTGTAAACAGTTTTTTCTTTAACCTTTTTTTTTAAAGACAGGGTTTTGCTCTGTTGTCCAGCCTGTAATGCAGTGACGTGATAATGGCTCACTGCAGCCTCAAACACCTGGGGTCAAGTGATCCTCCCACCTCAGACCCCCAAGTAGCTGGGACTACAGGCATGTGCCAGCAAGCCTGGCTAATTTTTTCTATTTTTTTTCTTTTTTAAATAGAGATGGGGTCTTGCTTTGTTGCCCAGGCTGATCTTGAACTCCTGGCCTCAAGTAATCCTCCTGCATTGGGCACCCAAAGTGCTGGGATTACAGGTTTGAGCCATTGCGCCTGGCCGACACTGTTTTTGAAAGCATCACACGATGTCTTTTGAAAATGTTTTGGAATCATTTCCTGAGATACTTTTCCCTCCATCTCATTTTCTTTGGACTGGATGAAATCCTCACCCTCTCTGCAAGATAAATTTGAATTTTTGGCATGAGAAAACCCAGAGGTCTTTCTTTGCGGGGGGAGTAAATTCTGAAGACTGTTTTGCTCATTGCAATATCAGGAATCAGCTTGCAGACTGCTCCTCACGCCTCTATGCGTGCTCTCCTGGCTCTCCGCAAAGTCGGCAGCAGAGTGGTATTTGGGCATGGGTCAGCCGACTTATGTAAATATATTACCACTGAGCATTTCATCCATCTGCTAGGATCAGCCCTACCCTTTCTCAGCACTCTGCGGATTTAGTCTAAAGAGCTTGCAGAACTGCTTGGTATCATCAAGAAGAGCTTGCTCTCCGACAGGAGCCATCTTTATGCTCCAAACCTGACTGCCTGTAATAACTGGCAGCTTATTGTGTCGAAAAAACCATCCTGAGGCAGGGACTGTGTTCTGAAGATGAGTGGTCTTTGCAGAGCAGGATTTGGTCAGCCACATGCAAGGATGATGGCGTAGGAAGACGGGAAAGGCTGAAACTCAGTAATACCTAGCTAGAGTTTGGAGTGACCACACTGTCAGCCGGCGAGCTGTCTAATGATGATTCACCATCTCCCTTTCCCGGAGCTTTGCAGGACGATGGCTTGAGAGCTTTCATAACTCATTTAGCCGTGATGATTAATTTGGAACGAGGGATAAAGGTTGTCTCAGGCCAAAGATTGCCTGCCTTCCTTCACTGACTCAACCCTGATCCGAGATGGAAAATGTGCATTTTAGGACAACACTAAATTTTTAATGCTTTTTAATAGCTCTTTGCGAGATTACTCAGGGTGAGCTGGAGCTTTGCAAACAAACGCTTATCCCCGTACACTATGTTTACCTGGCGCAATCGGATGCCTTTCATTCAGGACTGTCCTTGAAGGTCACTGCCTCTATCCTTTCCAGCAGGGATGAAAAGCAAATCAGATTACAGAAATGGCTGAGCTGCCTTTGGAGGTAGTTGTAATAGAGGGTTTAGGGTGTGTACCGATGTAAGAGCTTGGGGGTTATTTGCAAGCTACATGGAGCTTGAATGTTGTATCAGGATTAGGCTTGGCTGACACGGAAACCCTAAAACAACAGTGCTTTAAAGCAACAGAAGTTTGTTCCTCTCTTACGTAAAGGTGACCCTGAGGTACACGGTCCAGGGCTGGCATTGTGCCTTTGTGTCACACAGTCCTCAAAAATAAGGCTCATCTTCTTTCCTTGCTTTCCCTCCCCTAGGTCATATTCTCTTTGTCCTCATGATCCAAGACGGTAGCTCTCACACTCCAGGAAGCACGTGCAGGAAGGAGAGAAGAGAAAGAGGGAAAAAGGCAAATCACGTATGATTTTGAAAGCAAGTTTCTGGTATGTGGCAGCAGCAGTGGGTACAGAAAGAAAGAAAAAGGTTTAGCATTTCTAAGGAGTGGGTAGGAGTGGTGTCATTAATTTTAAGCTCTGTGGCCTTGGGAAAGGCTCAACTTCTGTGAACCCAAGTTTTGTCTTCCGTAACATGACGACGATGATGGTGATGGTGATGGTGATGACGATGATGGTGATGATGATGGTAATGATGATGGTGATGATGGTGATGGTGATAATAGTGATAGTGAGGATGATGATGCTGCTGATGTAATGATGGTGATGATGATGATGGTGATGATATGATGGTGATGATGATGATAATGCTGACAGTGATGATGTGATGTGATGATGATAGTGATGGTGATAATGGTGATAATGATGATGGTGATGATGTGATGGTGATGATGATAACGGTGATGATGTGATGGTCATGATAATGATGGTGATGATGGTGATGGCAATGATCATGATGATGATAATAGTGGCGATGATGATGGTGATGATGATGGTGATAGTGATGATGGTGATGGTGATGACAGTGATGGTGTTGATGGTGATAATGATGGTGATGATGTGATGGTCATGATAATGATGTTGATGATGGTGATAGCAATGATCATGATGATGATAATAGTGGCAATGATGATGGTGATGATAATGGTGATGGTAGTGATGATGGTGATGATGATGATGCTGATGGAGATAATGGTGATGGTGGTGATAATGATGATGATGGTGATGGTGATGACAATGGTGATGGAAATGATGGTGATAGTGATAATGGTGATGGTGGTAATGATGATGATGAGGGTGGTAATAATGTCACCTGCCCCACAGAACTGTTAGAAGAGACAAATGAGCTAAATTATACAGTTTCTTGAAAATCATAATGTGTTATACAAACAATAATTGTTGTTCTAGTGAGCCACTTCTGGTGAAAATCTCTTTTCTCTTGAAGGTTCACATTGCAAAATAACTACTTCAATTAATTAGATAGGGATTATTTATTATTTATGCATTTGTTTCTTTGTGTGTATGTACCTGTACAAGTGGATGCATTTGTCTATCAAGACAGATATATGAATAGATACCCATTGGATTTTACAATGGAGATTTAAAAACACTCTTTAGTAAAGACTAACAATTTTTGTTTTTCCAAACTTTCTCCTCACACTAGATAGGCTTGGTTGCAATTTTATGCCATATCCTTATTATTTATTCCATATGCCCATTGCACCTTGGATGTGAAGTAGTCATTTCCGTCTCCCTGGTACTTGGCTCTGTGTCTGACACCTACGAGGTGCTCTGCAAAAGTGTCGAGTTGAATTAAATTCTGCAATAATGTTAATGAGCCAGATCGAGGTGATGGGTGTGGGAGAGCCGGATATGGCAAGGTGAAAGAGAGAGGGCGGAAAAATAGAACAAACAACAGAGAAATAAATGAGGTAGAAAAAGGTCACAGCAATAACCTGAGAGAGAGAGAGAGAGAAAAAAGAAGAAGCACAGACAACCACATTGGGTCTTTCCTACCCATCCATCTAATTTATCAGCAGGTCCCCAATCTGCCCATGTCTCACCACTGCACCTCTGTCCTCACCCTGGCCCAAGTTGCAATAATTTCTCCCTGAACAACCAATATAGTTTTTATCTATTCCTCCCATCACCTCCTTCCCCACTATAATCTAGGTAAAGTATCTCAACTGGGCTTCTCCCAGAAACAGACCCTGGGTTAAGGATTGAGTAACGGAAAGGGTAGGGACACTGACCAGGGTAAGGGCTCTGGCCAGGGCAGGGGGTCAGGGGAAGGTTATACAGGGAAGGGCATACACCAATGAGGGGTGAATTATTAAGCCAGCTCTACAGAGGGCACCTAGGACATAATCTTATTGTGATGCTCTGGGAAACAGCATAAAACACCCACCTGGGAATTATCCTAGCAGAGGGGTGAGGGAGCTGGGGTGTTGATACTCTATATCCATCAGTAACTGGTGGAGAATGTGACTCTCCTGCACTTTCAGTTTGGCACTTGATATGGTTTGGATTGTGTCCCCACCCAAATGTCATGTCAAATTGTGATTCTCCAGTGATGGAGGAGAGGTCTGGTGGGAGGTGATTAGATCATGGGGAAAGATTTCTTCCTTGCTCTTCTCATGATAGTGAGTGAGTTCTGATGAGATCTTGTTGTTTAAAAGTGTGTAGCACTTCCCCCTTTGCTCTCTTCCTCCTGCTCGTGCCATGTAAGACGTGCATGCCTCCCTCCTCTTTGCCTTCTGCCATAATTGTATGTTTCCTGAGGCCTCCCCAGTCATGCTTACTGTATGTGAAGGGATGTGAAGTTGTCATTTAGGACCATGGGCCCAGGCTTGAGGGTGGAGCACTTGCCAAGGACCCCACGCTTTTCTACCCAGTATTTCCCTTCCTCCTGTCCATATCACCACGAGCTACATGGAGTTCCCAAGGAGGCAATTCTCCTTAGTGCTTCCCATTCACTTGGTAGTCAGAGCTGTAGTCATACAGGCTCAAGCCACTCCCCAAGTTAGTTAATATTGCAAACCATACGTAATAGTATACTTAATCAATATATCAATGGTACAGGTTAAACATTCCACAACAAACAAAGCAACATTTACCATCAAGAGAAAGGGAATAGAAAAGAGGGTTAATAAGGCTGGGCGCGGTGGCTCACGCCTGTAATCCCAGCACTGTGGGAGGCCAAGAGGGGCAGATCATGAGATCAGGAGATAGAGACCTGTCTGGCTAACAGAGTGAAACCCCATCTCTACTAAAAATACAAAAAAATTAGCCAGGCGTGGTGGCAGACGCCTGTAGTCCCAGCTACTCGGGAGGCTGAGGCAGGAGAATGGCATGAACCCAGGAGGTGGAGGTTGCCATGAGCCGAGATCGCGCCACTGCACTCCAGCCTGGGCAACACAGCAAGACTCTATCTCAAAAGAAAAGAAAAGAAAAAAGGGTGTATAAACCAGTCCAACGAGAGGGACATTGACAAGAACAATATCCTGTCATGGTCTGACATGGTCCTGATGTGGGTGGCCTGTTAACATATGGCAAGAAAGGGTCTTTGATGTGGGCAGAACCTTTGGCATACTCTGCACAGATAGGTAGAGTATTTTATTGAGTAATGAAAGTGGCTTTCAGCAGGATGGGGAGCTGAAAAGGGGATGAAATGGGAAGATAGTCTTCTCTTGTAGTTTTATTTGACTTTGTGCCAAGATAAAAGGACAAGGGAGAAAAGCCAGAAAGCAGCACACAGCAGCTTTTGTCTCAGCTTCTGACAACCTCCCAGCAATGCAGCACTCAGCCAGGATGCAGAGAGCAATGTATAAAGAATTAGACAGCCTAACATATATACCATGGAATACTATGCAGCCATAAAAAAGGATGAGTTAATGTTCTTTGCAGGGACATGGATGATGCTGGAAACCATCATTCTCAGCAAACTAACACAAGAACAGAAAACCAAACACCACATGTTCTCACTCATGAGTGGGAGCTGAACAATGAGAACACATGGACACAGGGAGGGAACATCACACACTGGGGGCCTGTCAGGGGGTGAGGGGCTAGGGGAGGGAGAGCATTAGGAGAAATACATAAGGTAGATGATGGGTTGATGGATGCAGCAAACCACCATGGCACACACATACCTATGTAACAAACCTGCACGTTCTGCACTGTATACCAGAACTTAAAGTATAATAATTTTTTAAAAAGTTAAAAAAAAAGAATTAGACAACTTATTGAAACACTTCTGCCCTGTCCCCTGCCATGCCTTGCCAAATTTATAGCTTCCCATTGTGAAGTTTTATCAGCATGAATTTGTAAAGTAATTGAGCAGGGTGCCCCAAAAAGACTTTTGAGAACCTCAAAGTTGTAGTTATTAAAAATTACTCAGTCATGTCTGGAAGGAGCCGCCTTCATGCTTATGAATATTTTGGGTGGCATCAGGATTTCTTTAGAAAGGGACTCTTAAATCCTTCTGTATGACTTTTCTGGGACTTTCCTAAAAATCGTGTTCACAAAATGAGTAGTTTCAAACAATAGAGATTCATCCTCTCCCAGTTCTGGAGACCAGGAGTCTGAGATCAAGGTGTCTCAGGACCACACACCCTCCGGAGGCTCTAAGGAAACCTGCCTCTTCCCACTCCTGGGGGCTCCAGGCATCCCAGGGCTTGTGGCCGCATCACTCCAGTCTCTGCCTCCACCTCCATGTGGCCTCCTCCTCTGTGTCTGTGTCTCCTCTTCTGTCTTAGAAAGACACCTGTCATTGCATTTAGGGCCCACCCTACTCCAGGACGATCTCATCTCCAGATCCTTAACTAACTGCATCTGCAAAGACCTTATTTCCAAATACGGTTCCATTCACAGGTTCTGGAGAACAGGACATCAACATATTTTGGGGGTCGCCATTCAGTTCCCTCTGGAGGCTCTAGGGGAGGATACTTCTGCATTCAGGACCCATTCTAACCCAAGATGATCTCATCTCAACTAATTCCATCAGCTATGACCCTATTTCCAAATAAGATCTCATTCTGAGGTTCTGGGTGGATGTCAATTTGGGAGAAATACTCTTCAACCCGCTATACCTTCCAATGCTGACTAACGTCTGTATTTAAATAAACTCTGCAATTATCTCAGAAGACTTCCAGAAAGAAACACATGGTGAGTAACATCTATATTTACATAAACTCTGCAGTTATCTCAGAAGACTTCCAGAAACACAGGGGGAGCATGACACCAAACCCAGAAGGCTTAAATGAAAACAGGGATTAGGCCGGTCGCCGTGGCTCACGCCTGTCATCCCACCACTTTGGGAGGCCGAGGCAGGTGGATCACCTGAGGTCAGGAGTTCGACACCAGCCTGAACAACATGGCGAAACCCCGTCTCTACTGAAAATACAAAAATTAGCCAGCTTTGGTGGCATCCGCCTGTAGTCCCAGCTATTCGGGAGGCTGAGGCAGGAGAATTGGTTGAACCCAGGAGGCGGAGGTTGCAGAGAGCCAAGATCTTGTTACTGCACTCCAGCCTGGGCAACCCAGCAAGACTCCGTCTTAGAAAAAAAACAAAAACAAAAAACAAAGTCACTGAGTGGATTAGGTGAGTTCATATACGGAATGCATGTGTACAGCAGCTCCAGATGCTCGCCAAGGACTATATACGGGACTGTTGGGACTGCTACCACCACTAATACAGCCATTGCTATAGTTACTATTACTTCAACAATTAGTACTACCACCACTGCCAGGACTATTGCTACTACCAGTTCTACTGTGCTACTTCTGCAATTAATGCTCTTACTACAGCTCGTCAACTACCTCATTACTAAAGCCACTGCTAGAACTATTGCTTCCTTTTCTCACGGGGGACTGACTTTCATTTGCAATTCCCTGAGGCTTCACGCTCAGCAAAGGGTCCCCGCACCGACTCACCTGCTCCGCTTGCATCCCTGGCTCAGGAGCAAATGGCCTCCCAGTGGTCCCAAGTGCAGCCCCCTCCCTCCTGGGCCTCAGCCTTATGTAGACTCAGGCGAGGGCATTTGAAGAAGGGACCTCAGTTGATTCTCTGTTGCAGGACGCCCAAGACGAAGAGAGCACAGACATAGCACGACAGCCGGAAATAGCCTTTCATAGCCCCTAAATGTGCAGGACTGGACACAAGTTAGGAATCTGCTTTTCCACTAAGTAGCTTGTGGAATGCACCTGTGTGTGTGTGTGTGTGTGTGTCTTCCTGTCTCTTTCTCTCTCTGCCTCTCTCTTCCTCCCTCTTTCTCCCACTCTCTCTTTCTCCCACTCTCTCTGATTTCCTCTATCCCTCTTCTCTCTCTCCTCCTAGTCTTCCTCTCTCTCAGTCCTCTGCCTCTCTCTCTTCCTGGCTTTCTGTCTCTCCTCCTCCCTCTCTCTCTTTCTTCCTCCCTCTCTGCCTTTCTTCCTCTCTCTCTCTCCCTTCCTCTCTCTCTTCCTCCCTCCCTCTCTGTCTCTCTCTCACTCTCTTCTCTCTCCCTCTTCCTGTTTCTCTTCCTCCCTCTCTCTTCCTCCGTCTCTTCCTCTCTCTCTCCTTCCTTTTCTTCCTCTGTCTCTTCGTCTCTTTCCTTCTCTTTCTTCCTCTCTTCCTCTCTCTGTCTCTCTCTCCCCCTTCCTCACTTTCTCCCTCCCTCTCTGTCTCTCTCATTCTCTTCTTCTCTCTTTTGCCCTTCTTTTCTCTCTTCCTCTGTCTCTTCCTCCCTCTCTCTTCCTCTCTCCCTCTCCTTCCCTCTCTTTCTTCCTCTCTTCCTCTGTCTGTCTCTCCCTCTTCCTCTCTTCCTTCCTCCCTGTCTCTCTTTCTCTTCTTCTCTCTCCCCCTCTTCCTGCCTCTCTTCCTCTCTTCCTCCCTCTTCCTGCCTCTCTTCCTCTCTCTTCCTCCCTCTTCCTCCCTCTCTTCCTCTCTCTTCCTCCTTCTCTGTCTTTCTTCCTCTCTTCCTCTGTCTGTCTCTCCCTCTTCCTCTCTCTCTTCCTTCCTCCCTCTCTGTCTCTCTCTCATTCTCTTCTTCTCTCTCCCCCTCTTCCTGCCTCTCTTCCTCTCTCTTCCTCCCTCTCTTCCTTCTTCCCTCTCTGTCTCTCTCTCATTCTCTTCTTCTCTCTCCCCCCTTCCTGCCTCTCTTCCTCTCTCTTCCTCCCTCTCTTCCTTCTTCCCTCTCTGTCTCTCTCTCATTCTCTTCTTCTCTCTCCCCCTCTTCCTGCCTCTCTTCCTCTCTCTTCCTCCCTCTCTTCCTTCTTCCCTCTCTGTCTCTCTCTCATTCTCTTCTTCTCTCTCCCCCCTTCCTGCCTCTCTTCCTCTCTCTTCCTCCCTCTCTTCCTTCTTCCCTCTCTGTCTCTCTCTCATTCTCTTCTTCTCTCTCCCCCTCTTCCTGCCTCTCTTCCTCTCTCTTCCTCCCTCTCTTCCTTCTTCCCTCTCTGTCTCTCTCTCATTCTCTTCTTCTCTCTCCCCCTCTTCCTGCCTCTCTTCCTCTCTCTTCCTCCCTCTCTTCCTTCTTCCCTCTCTGTCTCTCTCTCATTCTCTTCTTCTCTCTCCCCCCTTCCTGCCTCTCTTCCTCTCTCTTCCTCCTTCTCTGTCTTTCTTCCTCTCTCTGTCTCTGTCTCCCCCTTATTCTCTTTCTTTCTCCTTCTCTGTCTCTCTCTCATTCTCTTCTCTCTCTTCCCCTTCCTGTCTCTCTTCCTCCCTCTCTCTCCTTCCCTCTCTGCCTTTCTTCCTCTCTCTCTCTCCCTCTTCCTCTCTTTCTCCGTCCCTCTCTCTCTCATTCTCTTCTTCCCTCTCTTCCCCTTACTGTCTTCTTGTCTGTCTTCCTCCCTCTCTTCCTTTATCTTTCTTTCTCCCTTCCTCTCTTCCTTTCTTCCTCTCTTCCTCTGTCTCTCTCTCCTCCCTCCTCTCTCTTCCTCTCTCTCCTTCTCTCTCTCTCTCTCACACACACACAGACACACACACACACACACACACTCCCCAGGACTGTATTCACCCATGCTTTTTAAAACAGAATCAATTCCAGACATATTCTGATAGAATGTCAAACAAGAAAGAAATAAAGAAGTGTTTATGCTGAGATTTAAAAACAACACCAGCAGCAACGACAGAACCTATACCGTTTTGACTTCATTCCAACCACAAGAAATGACACAGCAATACTGAGTAGCCAACTACTGATAGGAACTAACCGGAACAAAATATAAGTGATAAACATTTCAGCAGATACATAAAATAATTCTCCAAATATCTCTTCTTAGGTAGGTCTCCTTCCCAACTGGACGTTACTCTTGGTAGCATATATCCACTGGGGAAATTTTAGAAAATATTTTAATTATTTATAAAGTCTCCCAGTTTAAACTGCAATGTGGCAAAAGACGTTCTTCCTAATTAGAGGGCCGTAGTCTACGTAGGAAAAATATCAAACAAATTAAACTCATAGAGGTTTCATCTCTCAGAGAGGAATATGCACGTGATTTGGACGTATTTAGAAAATCCTATTAAAGATATTTTGTTCCTGTTGTGTGGCTTGATAGAGCCGACGAGAGGGCTGAGCTAGCTATGCTCTGAGTTTTGCAAGACTTTTAACAATCATAACCTGTTTGACTTTCCGTGTTTCAGGCATGTTGAAGTGCCTGTTGACAATCAGCCCTCTTTACACTTTCCTAACCACTCTGAAGGCAGAAATCAACCATGACAAAAACGGTTTGATTTAGAGGATTAGACCATTCCACTCAAAATTCATTCACTTACTTAGAAAGTAGTTTCCTGGCCGGGCACAGTGGATCACGCCTGTCATCCCAGCACTTTGGGAGGCTGAGGCGGGCGGATCACCTTAGTTCGGGAGTTTGAGACCAGCCTGGCCAACATGGTGAAACCCCGTCTCTACTAAAAATACAAAAATTAGCCAGGCGTGGTGGCGGGCGCCTGTAGTCCCAGCTACTCAGGAGGCTGAGGCATGAGAATCGCTTGAACCCGGCGGGCGGAGGTTGCAGGGAGCCGAGATCCTACCATTGCACTCCAGCCTGGGCGACAAGAGCAAAACTCCATCTTAAAAAATAAAAAATAAAAATAAATTAAAAAAGAAAATAGTCTCCTGTGTATCCCTTGGGTTTGCAGCATGTGACAATTACCAAGTGAAATATAGTTAATGGAATCAACTATATTTAAAAGTATTTTAACAGTATTTTGAAAAAAAAAAAATATATATATATATATATAATTCTACCATGATCTCAGGGAGAATTCTTGAGAAGGATTTTTTTTTTTCCATCAGTATTGACTACTCAATATTACTATGTCATTTCTTGTGGCCGAAATGAAGTGAAAACGTATAAACGGTATAGGTTCTACCTTTTTTTAAAAAAAAAATCTCAGCATGTTCTTTATTTTTTCTTGTTTGACATTCCCCCAGAATATGTCTAGAATTGATTCTCTTTTACATTTTCACTGAGAACCCAGAAGGCAGCCATTTTTCGGAAAATGTGTTTGACTCACAGCTGTTATCTCCTGCCATTTCTGTGATTATCGCTTCCATCCCATTCTCCTCTATAGGAATTCCAGCTTCTCCCAAGTTAGCTTCAATAGATAAATGAAATAACTACATAAAAATAACTCTCATATATAAAATCCTATAAACTAAATGGCTAATAAAAATACTTGTGAATATATAAAAAGATATCAACAAAATAAATAAAAACAAGTGTAAATATGCAAATATGCATAAACAAAATGAATAAATACAATGAATAACAAATATATTTAAATATATAAATAATTATAAATATACAAATAAATTAAAATAATTATGAATATATAAAAATATAAACTAAATAATAAGAAATAATTATCAATATATAATACACAGAAACAAAATAAATAAAAATAATTACAAATATATTAAAATATAGAAACTAAATAAAAATAGATATAAAAATATATATGAAAATAAAGATGTGAAAAATATAGAAACTAACTAAATAAAAATAATTATAAGTATATAACAATTTATATAAACAAAATGAATAATTATAAATATATAACAATTTATATAAACAAAATAAATTAAAATATTTATAAATCTATAAAAGTATGGCTGGGCGCGGTGACTCACGCCTGTAATCCTAGCACTTTGGGAGGCCGAGGTGGGCGGATCACGAGGTCAGGAGATCGAGACCATGGTGAAACCCCGTCTCTACTAATAATACAAAAAATTAGTAGGGTGTAGTGGCAGGTGCCTGTAGTCCCAGCTACTCGGGAGGCTGAGGCAGGAGAATGGCGTGAACCCGGGAGGCCGAGCTAGCAGTGAGCCGAGATCGCACCACTGCACTCCAGCCTGGGCGACAGAGTGACACTCCGTCTCAAAAAATAAATAAATAAATAACATAAAATAAAATAAAAATATACATCAACTAAATAAAAATAATTAAAACTATATATAAATTTTTATAAGCTCAATAAATAAAAATATGTATAAATCTATAAATATATATGAACAAAATAAATAAGTAAAAATGATAAATACATAAAAATACATATGAGCTAACTAATATAAATCTATAAAACTATATAAACTAAATAAAAATAATTATAAATATATAAAAATACATATAAGTTGTCATATAAATCTATAAAAATATATAAACAAAATAAATGAAGAAATAAAAACATCATAAATATATGAAATATATGTAAACTAAATAAAAATATTTACAAAGGTATAAAGATGTATAAACATAGTGAATAATAACTGAATAGCAAATAAAAATTGTTTTACTATAAAAAGCCCTCAGAAGGAATGAACCCTGCCAGCACCTTGATCTGGCACCCCTGGCTCCCAGCATTGTCAGAGGAGGAGGATTATAAAACAACCTTCTGGCCCCCAGCGTTGTGAGAAAATGCATTGCTATGGTTCACGTCACCCTGTTGATGTTACTGCGTTGTGGTAGCCCCGGTGAACTCATCCCACAAGTCATGAGTTCCCAGGTCACCTGCTTCCTCTTGTGGGGGTCGAGACGCTGTATCTCCCTGGGCAGAAGCCTTTTATGCTGAAAGGGAGGCCTTTGCATTGGCTGAGCTTGAGCGTGAGAGCTGGAGCTGCTGGGATCTTGAACACTCCTGGGATCTTGAACCTCCGTGGATGGAGGGAGTGTAGCTGAAAGGATCCAGCCGTCTTCCATCGTTAGCAAGTTAAGTCACCGAGGATCTTCCCCAGTTGCCTGCCCCAGTTGAGTTTGTCAGAATCTATTCACAGCATCACACGGGCGTGTAAACCACTGGAAGTCCCTTGCCGCCTGTTATTGCTCTTGTTCTAAGGAGGGGCAGGTGAGGAGGAGGGACCATCCGCAGGTGAGAAATGGGCAGAATATTTGTGGCAGGCATGGTGATTTTTGTCGCCAGCAGACTCTGCCTGGTGGCGGTGCGGGGGACTTGTGAAACATTTGCAATTGTCTTCCAACTGTTTAGAGATTTCTCGAGGAAATTAAAACAGAGGCTGGGCACGGTGGATCACGCCTGTAATCCCAGCACTTTGGGAGGCGGAGGCGGGAGGATCACCTGAGGTTGGGAGTTCGAGACCAGCCTGGCCAAAATGCTGAAACACCATCTCTACCAAAAATTCAAAAATTAGCTGGGTGTGGTGGCAGGTGCCTGTAAGCCCAGCTACCCGGGAGGCTGAAGCAGGAGAATCACTTGAACCTGGGAGGCAGAGGTTGCAGTGAGCCGAGATCGCGCCACTGCACTCCAGCCTGGGGGACAAGAGCAAAACTCTTGTCTCCAAACAAAAACAAAAAAGAAAAAAACAGAACTACTATGTCACCCAGCAATCCCATTCCTGGAGATATTGTCCTATCACAAAGACACATGCACCTATATGTTCATCACAGCACCAGTCACAACAGCAAAGAGGTGGCATCGACACAGGTACCCATCCATGGTGGACTGGATAAAGAAAAGGGGCTATATCTGCACCATAGGGTACTTTGCAGCCATAAGAAAGAATAAAAACATGGCCGGGCATGGTGGCTCACACCTGTAATCCCAGCACTTCGGGAGGCCGATGCGGACGGACCACGAGGTCAGGAGTTCTAGACCAGCCTGGCCAATATGGTGAAACCCCATCTCTACTAAAAATACAAAAATTAGCCAGGTGTGGTGGCACGTGCCTGTAATCTCAGCTACTCGGGAGGCTGAGGCAGGAGAATCACTTGAACCTGAGAGGTGGAGGTTGCAGTAAGCTGAGATCGCACCACTGCACTCCAGCCTGGGTGACAGAGCGAGACTCCATCTCAAAAACAAAACAAACAAACAAAAAAACACATGTCTTTTGTAGCAACACGGATGAAGTCAGAGGCCACAGTCCTAAGTGAACTAAGGGTGGAACAGAAAGCCAAATACTGCATGTTCTCATGTATGAGTGGGATGGAAACCGTGGGCCATCAACATCAAGATGAGGGCATTGCACTGGAGAGTACGAGAGGGAGGAGTAAAGGGGTGAAAAACTCACTAGCACATGCTGTGCTCGGTAGAATAGATGAGAATTAGTCTGTTCTACGAAATAGACGAGAATTAGTCTAGTCTACGAAATAGACTAGAAATAGCCTAGTCTGTTCTACGAAATAGACTAGAAATAGTCTAGTCTACGAAATAGACTAGAAATAGCCTAGTCTGTTCTACGAAATAGACTAGAAATAGTCTGTTCTACGAAATAGACTAGAAATAGCCTAGTCTGTTCTACGAAATAGACTAGAAATAGCCTAGTCTGTTCTACGAAATAGACTAGAAATAGTCTGTTCTCCGAAATAGACTAGAAATAGCCTAGTCTGTTCTACGAAATAGACTAGAAATAGCCTAGTCTGTTCTACGAAATAGACTAGAAATAGCCTAGTCTGTTCTACGAAATAGAGTAGAAATAGCCTAGTCTGTTCTACGAAATAGACTAGAAATAGCCTAGTCTGTTCTACGAAATAGACTAGAAATAGTCTGTTCTACGAAATAGAAGAGAAATAGTCTAGTCTCTTCTACGAAATAGACTAGAAATAGTCTGTTCTACGAAATAGACTAGAAATAGTCTGTTCTACGAAATAGACTAGAAATAGTCTGTTCTACGAAATAGACTAGAAATAGTCTGTTCTACGAAATAGACTAGAAATAGTCTGTTCTACGAAATAGACTAGAAATAGTCTGTTCTATGAAATAGAAGAGAAATAGTCTGTGATATCACCAGAATTTCTTTGTCTCACAGCCACGGAAATCAAGGACTTGGATGCACTAAGAGTGAGGTTACAGGCCGGGCGCGGTGGCTCACACCTGTAATCTTAGCACTTTGGGAGGCTGAGGTGGGCAGATTGTCTGAGCTGAGGAGTTCGAGACCAGTCATGGCAAAACTCCATCTTTACTAAAATACAAAAAACAAAAAAAAATTCGCCAGGCGTGGTGGCATGAGCCTGTAAATCCCAGCTACTCAAGGCGCTGAGGCAGGAGGATCAGTTGAGCCTGGGAGGCAGAGGCGCGGTGGCTCATGCCTATAATCCCAGCACTTTGGGAGGCCGAGGCGGGCGGATCCCCTGAAGTTGGGAGTTCGAGACCATCCTGGCCAATATGGAAAAACCCCGTCTCTGCTAAAAACACAAAACTAGCCAGGCGTGGTGGTGGGTGCCTGTAATCCCAGCTACTCCGCAGGCTGAGGCAGGAGAATCGCTTGAACCCAGGAGGCGGAGGTTGCGATGAGCCGAAATCGCGACCCTGCACTCCAGCCTGGACAACAAGAGCGAGACTCCATCTCAAAAAAATTAAATAAATAAATAAATGAAACAAAAAACCACCTGCGTTTCTAAGGGAGCAGAGTGCAGGCAAAAGAAAAAGAAGGGGGGGGGCCGTACCGCAGTAAAATGTAAGGGTTTTTATAAATGAGCTAGTGGGCAGGAGGTATCTTAGCTACATAGGGCACAAAAAACCGGTTAGGACCAGGTGTGCCATCTGCATAGGGCTGAGTCTGTGCATACGGCTGAGTCTCCCCACCCCACTCTTTCATCACACAGGCATCTTCGTAGCTTGAGCTACTCCACGTTGACTATCTCCTTCCACCGTGTGCTAAAAAGGGGAGGGGGAGTTTCCGTGCCTGGCCCCTGGTACCTCCTTGCAGCTGCCAGGCATCCCCCTGCCAACCCATGCCAACCTCCCTATCTTCATGTACCCGAAAAAGGGAAAGGAATAGGCTTACCATTATTTTTATTTATGAATAATAAAGCACTGTGCATTTCAGAATTGCTCAGAGTAGGTTTTCCTACTTTCCCTATCTCGGTGAGCTCTGTCTTAGATTTTTCCTACCTGAGTGTGTCCAAAAAATGGAAAGAAATGTGCTCAGTCAGGCCCCCTGTCTTTACTGGGACCTGTAGTACATAGGTGAAGTTTGGTGATGACCTAGGAAATGAGAGCCTAACTATCCACCTAAATAATTTTTTTCTTTTTCTTTTCTTTTCTTATTATTTTTTGAGATGGAGACTCGCTCTGTCGCCCAGGCTGGAGTGCAACGGTGCGATCTTGGCTCACTGCAACCTCCGCTTCTTGGGTTCAAGCGATTCTCCTGCCTCAGCCTTCCAAGTAGCTGGGATTGCAGGTGCGTGCCACCATGCCAGGCTAATTTTTCTACTTTTAGTACAGACGGGGTTTCACCATGTTGGTCAGGCTGGTCTCGAACAGGTCTGTGCTGGACCTGCTTTTCTGTAACTTACGGCTCCATCTTCCAGGCTGCTCTTTGTTAGAAGAGAAGTGATTTCTTTGAGTGGCGTGTGGTTAGAAAGGAAGCAATTTCTCAAGCTGCCTTTTTTTTTTTTAGATGGAGTCTCGCTCTGTCGCCCAGGCTAGATTGCAGTGGCACAGTCTCGGCTCACTGCAACCTCCGCCTCCCGGGTTCAACCGATTTTCCTGTCTCAGCCTCCTGAGTAGATGGGATTACAGGTACCCGCCATCACACACAGCTAATTTTTTTTTTTTTTTTTTTTTGCATTTTATTAGAGATGGAGTTTGGCCTTCCAAAGTGCTAGGATTACAGACATGAGCCACCGTGGCCACGAGCTGCTTTTTGCTAGAAGGAAACTTTTTGCCGGGGGCCCTTTCACCCTAACTATCCACCTAAATAATTTCTTTTTTCTTTTTCTGTCATTTATTATTTATTTATTTATTTATTTATTTATTTATTTATTTATTTTTTGAGATGGAGTTTCACTCCGCCGCCCAGGCTGGAGTGCAATGGTGCGATCTTGGCTCACTGCAAGCTCCACCTCTCTGGTTCAAGCAATTGTCCTGCCTCAGCCTCCCAGGTAGCTGGGATAACAGGTGTGCGCCACCATGCCAGGCTAATTTTTCTACTTTTAGTACAGACGGGGTTTCACCGTGTTAGCAAGAAATTACACAGAGGCCAGTCGTGGTGGCTCACGCTTGTAATCCCAGCACTTTGGGAGGCTCAGGCAGGCGGATCACCTGAGGTCGGGAGTTTGAGACCAGCCTGACCAACATGGTGACTCTTGTACTTGGGCCAAATCAATCCTCTTCTGTCAACTTAAGAAAGAGAGAGGCAGGCGTGGTGGCTCACGCCTGTAATCCCAGCACTTTGAGGAGGCCGAGGCGGGCAGATCACTTGAGGTCAGGAGTTGGAGACCAGCCTGGGCAACATGGTGAAACCCCCATCTCTACTGAAAATACAAAAAAATTAGCTGGGCGTGGTGGCGCGCACCTGTAATCCCAGATCTTTGGGAGGCTGAGGCAGGAGAATCGCTTGAACCTGGGAGGAAGAGGCTGTAGTGAGCCGAGATTGCACCACTGTACTGCCAACATGGTGAAAACCTGTCTCTATTGAAAATGCAAAAAATTAGCTGGGCGTGGTGGCGCGCGCCTGTAATTCCAACTGTTTGGGAGGATGAGGCAGGAGAAGCACTTGAACCTGGGAGGCGGAGGTTGCAGTGAGCCCAGATCATGCCACTGCACTCCAGCCTGGGTGACAGAGCAAGACCCCATCTTGGGAAAAACACACACACACACACACACACACACACACACACACACACACACGAAAGAGAGAAAGATGAAGAGCACATGGTCTCACTGCTATGTGGAATCTAAAAAAGTCAAACTCACAGAAGCAGAGTAGAAGGGTGGGTAGCAGAGACTAGTGGAGGTCACGGGGAGAGATGTTGGTCAGATAATTCAGTTTTGGTTAGACAGGAGGAATAAGGTCTGCACAACTATTGCACAGCACGGTGACATAATTAATAATAAAACACTGCATTTCCAAATTGTTCCGAGTAGGTTTTATTTTTGTTAATTAATAATAAAGCACTGTGCATTTCAAAATTGTTCCGAGTAGGTTTTATTTTTGTTAATTAATAATAAACCACTGTGCGTTTCAGCATTGTTCAGTATAGGTTATTTTTATTTTTGTTAATTTATAATAAAGTACTGTGCATTTCAAAATTGTTCAGAGTAGGTTTTATTTTTATTTTTGTTAATTAATAATAAAACACTGTGCATTTCAAAATTGTTCAGTGTAGGGCCAGACGCGCTGGCTCATGCCTGTAATCCCAGCACTTTGGATTATCTGAGGTCAGGAGTTCAAGACCAGCCTGGCCAACGTGGTGAAACCCTGTCTCTACTAAAAATACAAAAATTAGCTGGGTGTGGTGGTGCTTCACCTGTAATCCCATGTACTAGGGAGGCTGATGCACGAGACTCGCTTGAGCCCGGGAGATGGAGGTTGCAGTGAGCCCAAATCACGCCACTGCACTCCAGCCTGGGTGACAGAGTAAGACTCTGTCTCAAAAAAAAAAAAAATTGTTCACAATACGTTTTATATATATTTTTAATACTAAAGTACTGTGCATTTCAAAATAGCTCAGAGTAGATTTTATTTTTAGTTTTATTTTTGTTAATAATAAAGTACTGTGCGTTTCAAAATTGTTCAATATAGGTTTTAATTTTATTTTTGTTAATAATAAATCACTGTGCATTTCAAAATTGTTCAGAGTAAGGCCAGGCGAGATGGCTCATGCCTGTAATCCCAGAACTTTGGGAGGCCAAGGTGAGTGGATCGCCTGAGGTCAGGAGTTCGAGACCAGCCTGGCCAACACAGTGAAACCCCATATCTACTAAAAATACAAAAATTAGCTGGGTGTGGTGGTGGGTGCCTGTAATCCCACCTACTCGGGAGGTGGAGGCAGGAGAGTCGCTTGAGCTCGGGAGGCGGAGGTTGTACTGAGCCGAGATAGTGCAACTGCACTCCAACCTGGGCCACAGAGTGAGACTCCATCTCAAAAAAAAAAATGTTCACAGTAGGTTTTATATATATATTTTTAATAATAAAGTACTGTGCATTTCAAAATCGTTCAGTATAGGTTTTATTTTTAATTTATTTTTGTTAATAATAAATTATTGTGCATTGCAAAATTGTTCAGGGTCGGTTTCATTATTGTTTTTAATAATAAAGTACGGTGCATTTCAAAATTGTTCAGAGATTTTATTTTTATTTTTGTTTAATAATAAAGTATTGTACCTTTCAAAATTGTTCAGAGTAGATTTTTATTTTTGTTAATTAATAATAAGGTACTGTGCCTTTCAAAATTGTTCAGAGTAGATTTTATTTTTATTTTTGTTAATAATAAAGTACTGTGCATTGCAAAATTGTTGAGAGTAGAGTTTTTTTATTTTGGTATGCTTTTGTGTTTTCTTGTTTTGTACAAATTTAGGGGTTCCATGAGAAATTTTGTTACATGTATAAAACGTGTAGTGATCTAGGTATTCAGGGCATCCATCACCTGAATACAGTATTTTTGTGTTAAGTCTATACACCTTATTCTGCTATGGAACCCCAAATGTATTCCTTGTATCTATTTTTTTTTTTTTTTTAGATGGAGTCTCCCTCCGTCACCCAGGCTAGAGTGCAGTGGCGCGATCTCGGCTCACTGCAACCTCCGCCTCCCGGATTCAAGCGATTCTGCTTCCTCAGCCTCCTGAGTAGCTGGGACTGCAGGCGCCCACCACCACACCCCGCTAATTTTTGTATTTTTAGTAGAGATGGGGTTTCACCATGTTGGCCAGGATGGTCTCAAACTCCTGACCTCAGGTGATCCGCCTGCCTCGGCCTCCCAAAGTGCTGGGATGACAGGCGTGAGCCACCGCACCTGGCCATTCCTCGTATCTTAATGTATGTGTGCAGCCTTTAACCCACCTCTCTGCATCCTCCTCCCTCCGTCTCTCTCACCCTTCTCGGGCTCTGTTATCTATTTTTCCCCCTAAGTGTTTAGCACTTACCTAGGAGTGAGAACGTGCGATATTGGTCTTTCTGTGCCTGGCTTCTTTCTCTTGACATAATGGCCTCTGATTCCATCCATGTTGCAGCAGCCAACAGGATTTCCTTCACTCTTACAGCTCAAGAGTTTTCCCCTTTGTTTATACCCTACGTTTTCCTTCTCCAGTCATCTGTTTTGTTGTTGTTGTTTTGAGAAGGAATCTCCCTCTGTCACCCCAGGCTGGAGTGCAGTGGCATGATCTCGGCTCACTACAGCCTCTGCCTCTCAGGTTCAAGTGATTCTCCTGCCTCAGCCTCCAGAGTACCTGGGATTACAGGCACCTGCCACCACGCCCAGCTAAGTTTTGTATTTTTAGTAGGGACAGGCTTTCACTGTGTTGGCCAGGCTGGTCTCGAACTCCTGACCTCAGGTGATCCACCCACCTCAGCCTCCCAAAGTGCTGGGATTACAGGCGTGAGCCACCGTGCCAGGTCCTTATCCTATAATCTTTCCTTTTTTTTTTTTTTTTTTTTTTTTGAGACAGAGTCTCACTCTGTGACCCAGGCTGGAGTGCAGTGGCGCGATCTCGACTCACTGCAGCCTCCGTCTCCCAGTTTCAAGCGATTCTCCTGCCTCAGCCTGGAGTATCTGGGACTACATGTGCCCACCACCACATCTGGCTAATTTTTGTATTTTTAGTAGGGATGGGGTTTCACCATGTTGGTCAGGCTGGTCTCGAACTCCTGACCTCAAGTCATCCGCCCACTTCGGCCTCCCAAAGTGGTGGGGTGACAGGCGTGAACCACCGCGCCCAGCCCCATTCACGTGTTGATGGACTCTTGGGTTGATTCTATGTATTTGCTATTGTGAACAGTCCTGCAATAAACAGATGATATTTTTTTTCTTTTTTCTTTCTTTCTTTCATTTTTTTTTTTTTGAGAGGGAGTCTCGCTCTGTCGCCCAGGCTGGAGTGCAGTGGTGCGATCTCAGCTCACTGCAAGCTCCGCCTCCCGGGTTCACGCCATTCTCCTGCCTCAGCCTCCCGAGTAGCTGGGACTACAGGCACCCGCCACCACGCCCGGCTAATTTTTTTATTTAGTAGAGATGGGGTTTCACCGTGTTAGCCAGGATGGTCTCGATCTCCTGACCTCGTGATCTGCCTGCCTCGGCCTCCCAAAGTGCTGGGATTACAGGCGTGAGCCACCGCGCCAGCCTAAACGTAGGATTTTAAATGCGTGCACCACCCACACACACACACACAAAAGAAAAGTAGGTGAGGTGAGGGATATGTTAATTGGCTTCATGCAATTATCCCATGATGTGTACATATATCAAAATTTCACACTGTACCCTACAAATACATGCAATCATTGTTTGTCCCTTAAAAATTAAATTTTCCAAAGGAAGGAGACCAACAGTGGCTTCTGAAGTCGAGGACAGAGCGAGGCTTTGCCCCCTCGGTAAAACATGAATAACGGGAAATGGAATTTTAAATGTCACCGCAGGAGGAATTTACTCATTCAGGGCCGGGGGCTTCCTCGGACGTCATAAAATCATCTTCAGCTGATGGGAATATAATGACAGCCAGCATTATCAGCAGAGAACGGCAGCTTTGAGTGTCTTTATATATTCATTGTTGTCAGTATCAGGGTTCAGAACCCGGCAGGTGGAGGTTGTGGTGAGCCGAGATCACGCCACTGCACTCCAGCCTGGGCAACAAGAGCAAAACTCCATCTCAAACAAACAAACAAACAAAAAATACAAACAGCCCAGCTAAGGTGACCTATGAAATGCAGACATTGATAATCAAGACATATGCATTTTTATTTTTTTTTAAATTTGTATTGTATTTATTTCTTCTTTTTTGAGATGGAGTCTCTCTCATTCTGTTGCCCAGGCTGGAGTGCAGTGGCGTGATCTTGGCTCACTGCAACCTCCGCCTCTTGGGTTCAAGTGATTCTCCTGCCTCAGCCTTCTGAGTAGTTGGGGTTACAGGCACCCGCCACCGCATCCGGCTAATTTTTGTATTTTTACTAGAGACAGGGTTTTGCCATGTTGACCAGGCTGGTCTCGAACTCCTGACCTCATGATCCACCCACCTCGACCTCCCGAAGTGCTGGGATTACAGGCGTGAGCCACTGCGCCCGGCCTATTTCTTGTATTTTGAGACGGAGTCTTGCTGTGTCGTCCAGGCTGGAGTGCAGTGGCATGATCTTGGCCCACTGCAACCTCTGCCTCCTGGGTTCAAGCGATTCTCCTGCCTCAGCCTCCCGAGTAGCTGGGGTTACAGGCGCCCGCCACCACATCTGGCTAATTTTTGTATTTTTACTAGGAACAGAGTTTTGCTGTGTTGGCCAGGCTGGTCTTGAACTCCTGACCTCGTAATCCACCCACCTTGACCTTCCAAAGTGCTGGGATTACAGGTGTGAGCCACCATGCCCAGCTTATTTCTTCTTTTTTGAGACAGAGTCTCACTCTGTTGCCCAGGCTGGAGTACAGTGGTGTGATCTTGGCTCAGTGCAACCTCTGCCTCCTGGGTTCAAGCCGTTCTCCTGCCTCATCCTCCCAAGTACCTGGGGTTACAGGCACCCACCACCACACCACCTAATTTTTGTATTTTTACTACGGACAGGGTTTTGCCATGTTGGCCAGGCTGGTCTTGAACTCCTGACATCCGGTGATCTGTCCGCCTTGCCCTCCTAAAGTGCTGAGATTACAGGCATGTGCTACCATAACTGATTAATTTTTGTATTTTTAGTAGAAATAGGGTTTCCCCATGTTGGCCAGGCTGGTCTCGAACTCCTGACCTCAAGGGATCCACCCACCTCAGCCTCCCAAAGTGCTGGCATTACAGGCGTGAGCTACCGCACCCGGCCGATATATGCATTTTTACTAAAAAAAAAAAAAAAAAAAAGGTTGAAATGTTGAAATATGCATCCATTCCCTTGGCCTCCTGGATGAGAAGTCACAGGTAGAAAAAGGATGGGAGATGCAAATCACGCACAAAACTGTCAGCAACAACAACAACAAAAATGTGCTGTCACGTCCCCAGAGCGGCCTCAACACAAATCCGAGCATCTGGGGTTTCTGGAATCTGGACTCTGATACATTGTTGCGTTTCCCCTGCTAGCAAATGACAATGGTATCCTGCAGGGTGGAAAGAGTGAGAGAGGCGGGCAGTCCCCGGCTGTTTAAAATAAGAATGTCGGTGCGCCAGGAGGACGGGATACATTCTTTTCCTGAGAGCAGTAAGGGTTCAAGTGTAAGAAGCCAGTAATTATCCTGGGGGAAGCGAGAATCGTCAGGGGAGTAGGGGCAAAGAGCCGAGATGGTATCGATGGTGATGAAAACGCCGGCGTATTCGTGAACACCCTGCCTTACCCACGGGGCCCTCTTGCATTCGGCTGAGGGGATAATTACAAATAATGAGAAGCCTCTGATCTCAATGCATTTACGGCTTTGGCGTTTGCGAAAGGAAGAGAGGAGTGTGAAAAATAACCTATTTTACTATGAATGAGACAAAGTAAGATTTCAGGACAAAAGACACCAGCCAAGAAAGGGGGAATGTTAATCCTTGTCCCAGACCCTTTTATAAAAGTTATCCTTGATCCAATAATTAATGTATTTGATTTGGCTCAAAGAGACAAGGGTTAAAATTAGAAAAAAAAAAAAAAAAAAAAAAAAAGAAAGGCTTGCTAAGATGTGAGAAGAAAATGAGAGAAGGAATTTATAGTCATCAAAGTGGGATACATTTGTCCATGGCGTATATGAAGTCAAAATGGAAATTCAGATCAGAAACCCACATCTTCTGGCCAGGCATGGTGGCTCATGCCTGTCATCCCAGCACTTTGGGAGGCTGAGGCAGGGAGATCACTTGAGATCAGGAGTTCAAGACCAGCCTGGCCAACATGGTGAAACCCCATCTCTACTAAAAATACAATAATTAGCCCGGGCGTGGTGGCTCACGCCTATAATCCCAGCACTTTGGGAGGCCAAGGCAGGTGGATCACCTGAGGTCGGGAGTTCGAGACCAGCCTGGCCAACATGGTGAAACCCCATCTCTACTAAAAATACAAAAATTAGTCCGGGCATGGTGGCTCATGCCTATAATCCCAGCACATCGGGAGGCCAAGCAGATGGATCACCTGAGGTTGGGAGTTCGAGACCAGCCTGGCCAACATGGTGGCCCTTCTTTACTAAAAATACAAAAATTAGCCGGGTGTGGTAGCACGTGCCTGTAATCCCAGCTACTCGGGAGGCTGAGGCCAGAGAATCGCTTGAACCTGGGAGGCAGAGGTTGCAGTGAGCTGAGATCATGCCACTGCACTCCAGCCTGGGAGACAGAGCAAGACTCTGTCTCAAAAAAAAAAAAATTCATCTCATGGACTAAACAACTTCTCTGAATCCAGGTACATTTAGGTTTTTCTTGGAACGAAGCAAGTTAACCTTTTCAGACTATTTCTAAACTTGGGCGTGTCTGCTTGATGTGTGTTTCTGGGATCCTTGCTTCCTCTCCCTTTTCTCCACCTCTTCCCTGCATTTAAATAGTGGGATAGCCTCCATAGCCTTCACAGTGTCACTCCTTGTTAGGAAAGCTTTAGTTGTCATCTTAAATTTCTTTTTTTTTTTTTTGAGATGGAGTCTCACTCTGTCGCCCAAGCTGGAATGCAATGGTGTGATCTCGGCTCACTGCAACCTCTGCCTCCCAGGTTCCAGTGATTCTCCTGCCTCAGACTTCCAAGTAGTTGGGATTACAGGAGTGCGCCCCCATCTTCCCTTGTGCTTTTTTTTTTTTTTTTTTTTTTTGAGATGGAGTCTCACTCTGTCACTCAGGCTGGAATGCAATGGTGCGATCTCGGCTCACTGCAACCTTTGCCTCCCGGGTTCAAGCGATTCTCCTGCCTCAGCCTTCCGAGTAGCCAGGATTACAGGAGTGCGTCACCACACCTGGGTAATTTTTTATATTTTTGATAGAGATGGGGTTTCACCATGTTGGCCAGGCTGGTCTTGAACTCCCAACCTCAATGGATCCGCCCGCCTCAGCCTCCCAAAGTGCTGGGATTACAGGCATGATCCACCACGCCCGGCTGTCATCTTAAATTTCTTACGGAAAAAAAAAAAATCACAATGTATTCTCACAGGAGAACTACCTTTCACCTTTGCCAACTTCCAATTTCGCAGTGCAATAAACAAAGGCAACTTTCTGGGGAGAAAGTGACAAAGCATTAATTATATCTTGCAGAAATCCACGGCACTTGTACAGGAAAACTGCCTTGTCTATCATTGGAGGGCAGAACCGTGATGGAAAGAATTGATTTCCGTGGCTGAGCTTCTAGTCAATGCTGGGCGTTTAAAACACGGTGTGGAGTGAGCAGTTATGAACAGGCCTGATAAATCGTGTTAGAAGGGTAGGTTTCCAGGTTCACGGTGAAAAGCAGGCTGCACGGCACTTGTCACAAAATGCAAAACTGTAATATAAACATCTCCAAGACATTTAGAAACAGCAATTGACATACTCGCTGACGAGGAGGGAGAACAGGCATAAAGGTATTCTCAGCCTTCTGGGTGTATGAGAAGTTCTGACCTCTCTCTGATGGCTAAATTTTCATTACTGGGTAAGAGAAGAGCGGTCACTGGAGATTCAGTCCTGCCACCGACTAACTGAGGACCATGTTGTTTTCTTTTTTCTCCTTTTTTTTTTTTTTAGGATAGAGTCTCACTCTGTCTCCCAGACTGGAGTGCGGTGGCACGATCTCGGCTCACTGTAACCTCCACCTCCCGGGTTCAGGCGATTCTCCTGCCTCAGCCTCCCGAGTAGCTTGGATTACAGGCACACACCACCACCCCCAGCTAATTTTTGTATTTTTAGTAGAGACTGGGTTTCACCGTGTTGGTCAGGCTGGTCTCCAACTCCTCACCTTGTGATCTGCCCGCCTCGGCCTCCCAAAGTGCTAGGATGACGGGCGTGAGCCACCTCGCCCAGCTTTCTTAATGAGCCGTGAAAAATCAATGGTTCTAAGAATAAGACCAGGATATATTATTTATGTAAATAGGGATTTATGATTTTCCTGTTTATTAAAACTTTTTTTCAAAGGCATGTTTCTACTTAAAAGAAGGCCTGAGAAAGACTTACACAGGTCAAGGGTCTATGCTGGCTCCTGTTGTCTGTATTTTTGTATCTGCTGGGACAGGTCTTCTGCCAGGCGGTCTTCTGCCTTTTCTGTCTTTATTATTTTCTCCATCACAATTGACCTGTTCTCACTCTTTCCACCTGCTCACCTACCCTTGTCCTCATTGTCTCATGCTAGAACCCTGCTGAACTGTGAGATTCTTTTTTTTTTTTTTTTTTTCTAAGACGGAGTCTCGCTCTGTCACCCAGGCTGGAGTGCAGTGGCATGATCTCGACTCACTGCAACCTCCACCTCCTGGGTTCAAGAGATTCTCCTGCCTCAGCCTCTGGAGTAGCTGGGATTACAGGCGCACACCACCATGCCTGGCTAATTTTTGTATTTTTAGTAGAGACGGGGTTTCAGCACCTTGGTCAGGCTGGTCTTGAACTCTTGACCTCAAGTGATCCGCCCGCCTCGGCCTCCCAAAGTGCTGGTTTTACAGGCGTGAGTCACCACGCCTGGTCCAACAGTGAGTCTCTTAAGACCCAAGGGAACTGTGAGACTCTTGAGACCCCCCCTGTAAGGTGAGTATCCTACTGGACCAGTTGGGTTTGGAGCTACCCTCTAAAATTTCTACTTCTGTAAATGAAGTAGTTTTGACACTCACCCCTTGACAAATTGTCAAATGCCACCAGCATCCCCTCCTTTTTTTTTTTTTAGTCGAATTCCAATGTCAAAGACATTACTAGGAACAATAGCATCGGGGAAAGGATAAATTCTTCCGTGCTTCGTGTCTGGTCTCAAAAGCCCGCAGGGCCATTGTGTTTAACCGTGGGGATTCTGAAGATCGCGCCGGCATACCTGTGTGAACTTTTTCTCTTTGTGTGAGCTGGTATAGACTGAAGCATTGTCTGGGTAGAGAAAGGTCATTAATTGTATCAGAGAGCATTGAAAACAAACAAACAAAATAAATAAAGAACAGAAAAGCCCGCTGCTAGTCTATGTATTTATGTGCTCCAGCTCCTATCAGGTCCGGTTTTAATTTTTTAATATAGACCACCAATTTCTTTAAAAGCTGTATGGAAAACTAGTATTTTTTCATAAAGTTTTTTATTTAAAAAACTGGATGAAAGACTACTTTTTTTTTTTTTTTTTTTGAGACGAAGTTTCACTCTTGTTGCCCAGGCTAGAGTGTAATGGCACAATCTCGGCTCACCGCAACCTCTGCCTCCCAGGTTCAAGTGATTCTCCTGCCTCAGCCTCCCAAGTAGGTGGGATGACAGGTGAGCACCACCACGCCTGACTAATTTTGTATTTTTAGTAGAGACGGGATTTCTCCATGTTGGTCAGGCTGGTCTCGAACTCCTGACCTCAGGTGATCCACCCGCCTTGGCCTCTCAAAGTGCTGAGATTACAGGCGTGAGCCACCGCGCCCGGCCGAAAAACTAATATTTTTAAAGATCCTTAATTAAGCCACAGAATTGCAAGAAAGCACCAAGGAATATTCATTAATTTGGTCAGTAGGCTATTCAACAATTGCAGATTTATTTCCCGCTCATTGACTGATAATACAATAGGTAAAGGGGATAAAGAATCAATAACCTCTGGGCTGAAGAAGGTCACAGTTCTAAAGAGATTCTGTACTTCATTCTCTAATTTCAAATAAATGTGGTTTAAATAACCACAGATGGTTGGTTCATACAGGTGTTCAAATTTCAAGGGTTTTTTGTAAACTGCTGAAATTATTATGGTTTTATGTCCTAGTGTTGGCAGTGACTAAAAATAAGAACTAAATATGTTTAAGAGATGTGAGTTTAAAAATAGAATGCTGTAATAATTTAAAATGGGCTGGGCACGGTGGCTCACTCCTGTAATACCAGCACTTTGGGGGAGGCTGAGGCGGGAGGATGACCTGAGGTCAGGAGTTTGAGACCAGCCTGGCCAACATGGTGAAACCCTGTCTCTACTAAAAATACAAAAATGAGCTGGGCGTGGTGGCGTGCACCTGTAGTCCCAGCCACTTCGGAGGCTCAGGCAGGAGAATCGCTTGAATCCAGGAGATGGAGGTTATAGCAAGCAGAGATTGCAGCACTGCACTCCAGCCTGGGTGACACAGTGAGACTCCATCTCAAAAGAGAAAACAAAAAACTTAAAAATGGCTAGTGACATTCATGGCTTCTTTTCCGGTAATTACTTATTTAGCGATTTGTGACATAGGGATAAAGCAACATCCTGAGAATCACTCTTATCTGGCTTTCTGTTACTTACAGGGTTCAAATGGCTGATGATATCTTTATATTTGAAGAAATCACAGAACAAGCTCAGAATTAGGATTCTATTTCTGCTTCTACTGAAAAATATATTTATTTATGAGATCAGCTGTGCTGTGGGATCTTTTTTATTGGTACGTGATAGTTTATAGATGTCTGCCTTCCATGTGATTTATTGCTGCCTGCCTAGAAAGTGTAATGATTAAGCTGGGGTATTTGGCGCGTCCAGCACCTGGAGTCATTTCTGTGTGTTAGCAAAATTTCCAGTTTTCTCTTCTAGCTGCTTTCAAATATATAATACATTCTGGCTAACTATAGTGACCCTGCTCTACCATAGAACATTATAACTTACATCTTCTGGCCAGGCGTGATGGCTCACGGGCCAGGCACGGTGGCTCACACCCGTAATCCCAGCACTTTGGGAGGCCGAGGAGGGCGGATCACGAGGTCAGGAGTTCGAGACCAGCCTGGCCAATATGGTGAAACCCTGTCTGTACTAAAAATACAAAAATTAGCCAGGCGTGGTGGCGGGCGCCTGTAGTCTCAGCTACTCAGGAGGCTGAGGCAGGAGAATCGCTTGAACCCGGGAGGCGGAGGTTGCAGTGAGCCGAGATCGCACCACTGCACTCCAGCCTGGGCGACAGAGTGAGACTCTGCCTCAAAAAAAAAAAAAAAAACCAGAACTTATATGTTCTATGTAATTGGATCTTTGTGCCCATTAACCAAACTCTTCATCTAAACACTGTCTCCACAAACCATTTCCAGGATCTCTTATCCATCATTCTCCTCTATGTCCATGAGATAACCTTTTTAGTGCCCAAGTATGAGTGAACACACAGAAAACGTGTCTGTCTGTGTCTGGCTTATTTCATGTAACATAATGACCTCCAGGGTCATCCATGTTGCTGCAAATGACAGGACTTCCTTCCTTTTGATGGCTGCACCATTGTATATATATAAAACATTCTCTTTTTCAGACAAAATAGACTTTAATTCAAATGCTGTCACAAGAGACAAAGAAGGTCTTCATGTAACTCAAAATGGTTGATTCCACAGGAATACATAACAATTGTAAATATACATGCTGAAAACATCAGAGTTCCCAAATACACAAAGCAAACTTTTTTTTTTTTTTGAGATGGAGTCTCACTCTACCACCCAGGCTGGAGTGCAATGGCATGATCTCGGCTCACTGCAACATCTGCCTCCCAGGTTCAAGTGATTCTCCTGCCTCAGCCTCCCAAGTAGCTTGGATTGCAGGTGCCTGCCACCCCACTCGGCTAATTTTTGTATTTTTAGTAGAGATGGGGTTTCACCATGTTCCCCAGGATTGTCTCGATATCCTGACCTCATGATCTGCCCGCCTCGGCCTCCCAAAGTGCTGGGATTACAGGTGTGAGCCACGATAGATTGTAAGGGAAACATAAGACTGGTACAATAATAGTAGGTGTCAAAGTCTCCTAACACATTTTATTATTATTATTATTATTATTTTTTAGATAGGGCTTTGCTCCTGTTGCCCAGGCTGGAGTGCAGTGGTGCGATCTCGGCTCACTGCAACCTCCACCTCCCAGGTTCAAGCAATTCTCCTGCCTCAGCCTCCCGAGTAGCTGGGATTACAGGCACCCACCACCATGCCTGGCTAATTTTTGTATTTTTAGTAGAGACGGGGTTTCACCATGTTGGCCAGGCTGGTCTCGAACTCCTGACCTCAGGTGATCGTCTCTCCTCAGCCTCCCAACGTGCTGAGATGACAGGCGTGAGCCGCCGCACCCGGCCACATCTTCTTTCTTTCTTTATTCATTGATGGACAATGAGGCGGATTCCATGTCTCGGCTACTGTGCACCGTACTGCAGTAAATACGGGGTTGCAGAAATCCCTTCGATATACTCATTTCCTTTCCTTTGGATAAATTCCCAGCAGGGGAATGGCTGGATCAGATGGTAGTTCTATTTTTAGCTTTGTGAGGAATCTCTTTACTATTTTCACACAGTGCCTCTACTAACTTACATTCCTACATATGCTCTCAAGTCTTAATTTTAGATGTTGGCCTCTTCAGCACTCCCAGCTATAGAGCATACAATGGGCAGAAGCCCGTCTAGCTTAGTAAAGATGCTCATTTTCTGGAAGGATGTTTATGTGGGGAGATGAGGCAAGCCCTGCCATATTTGGGGTTTCTCCTTATTATTTAGCTGTTGATTGTGACATGCCCCATCTGACAATGTACTGAAAGAAGCTTCACCATTACTGGTTACAATCCCTACTGTAACAAAACCTGAACAAAATATTTGAAACACTTCTGGTGCCAGGCCTTTCTGATAAGGGGTACTCAACCTGTATTAACTCTCTGGTTTGCTGGGAAAACAAAATGAATAATTATGAATCAAGAATTGAACACGGCCCCCATCTCTACTAAAAGAAATACAAAAAATTAGCCGGGTGTGGTGGCGGCTGCCTGTAGTCCCAGCTACTCGGGAGGCTGAGGCAGGAGAATGGCGTGAACCCGGAAGGTGGAGTTTGCAGTGAGCCGAGATCGCGCCACTGCACTCCAGCCTGGGCGACAGAGCGAGACTCCATCTCAAAAAAAAAAAAAAAAAAAAAAAAATTGAACACAGCACTTGGTTGTCAGTATGTTCTTTTAAGTTCTTTTTGTCTTGTTGTGACAGTCCTCAACAATCCTAAAGATTGGTATTCCTTATTTCTACCTACTTGTCAAGAGCAGGAACAAACCACAAGGATACGAAGGGTGGTGTGTGTTGGAGGTGTGCAGGCAACTGGACAACCATGTAAACATGTCTACTGAGGCCAAGCACAGTGGCTCACCCCTGTAATCCCAGCTCTTTGGAAGGCAGAGGTGGGTGGATCACCGGAGGTCAGGAGTCTGAGACCAGCCTGGCCAACATGGTGAAACCCCGTCTCTACTAAAAAAACAAAAAATGCAAAAAAGTAGCTGGGCATGGTGGCCCATGCCTGTAGTCCCAGTTACTCGGGAGGCTGAGGCAGGAGGATTGCTTGAACCCAGGAGGCAAAGGTTGTAGTGAGCCGAGATTGTGCCACTACACTCCAGCCTGGTGACAGAGCAAGACTTGGTCAAAAAAAAAAAAAATTAGCTGGATGTGGTGGCTCACGCACCTGTAATCCCAGCACTTTGGGAGGCTGAGGTGGGCGGATCACAAGGTCAGGAGTTCAAGAGTAACCTGGCCAATATGGTGAAACCCCGTGTCTATTAAAAATACAAAAAAAAAAAAAAAAAAAGCCAGGAGTGGTGGTGGGCGCCTGTAGTCCCAGCTACTCGGGAGGCTGAGGCATGAGAATTGCTTGAACCCAGGAGGCAGAGGTTGCAGTGAGCCAAGATTGGGCCACTACACTCCAGCCTGGTGACAGAGCAAGACTTTGTCTCAAAAAAAAAAAAAAAAAAAAAAAAGAATTAGCCAGGCGTGGTGGTGGGCACCTGTAATCCCAGGTACTCAGGAGGCTGAGGGAGGAGAATCACTTGAACCCAGGAGGTAGAGGTTGCAGTGAGCCGAGATTGTGCCATTGCACTCCAGCCTGGGCGACAGAGCAAGACTCATCTCAAAACAACAGTAACAAGAAATTATGTCTACTGCTTTGTATCTCAACCCATAGAAACTTCATGTTCCCTGACTCAGGGCTCGGAGAATTATCTTGAGCGGTGTGTGTGTCTGCCCATGAGCACAGTTGAGGTTGGGGGGGGTCCCATCGTGCCTGTGTATCCTCAGAAATTTTCCTGAAAGTGTTTGTGACAGGTGAATCACAGCCACTCTCAACAAGGGAAAGATGTGAGATTCCCTTGATTTTTCAAACCAACATAAACTAGTGTCCAGCCAACATCGGTGATCTCTGCGTATTCACGCCAGACCATCATCCATCGGAACACAGACAGCAAGTGCTCCGGGCGTGGAGTGTTGAGTGATGATTTTCTTTTTCCCACCACTCTGTGACTTTCACATCGTATAATTGGAATCTTCGGGTTGTTTTACAACAAGGATTTAGAGAAAAGAAAATCCAGACGCCTGTCTTAATGACTTTCACAAAGCTGGAGATTGCTTTTAACAACAAAAACCGGCCGGTTGTGGTGGTTCACGCCTGTAATCCCAGCACTTTGGGAGGCCGAGGTGGACAGATCACGAGGTTAGGAGTTCGAGACCAGCTGGGTGAACATGGTGAAACCCCATCTCTACTAAAAATACAAATAGTAGCTGGGCATGCTGGCATGTGCCTGTAGTCCCAGCTACTTAGGAGGCTGAGGCAGGAGAATCGCTTGAACCTGGGAGGCAGAGGTTGCAGTGAGCCGAGATCGCACCACTGCACTCCAGCCTGGGTGACAGAGCAATACTCTGATGAAAGAAAGAAAGAGAAAGAGAAAGAAAAGAAAGAGAGAGAAAGGAAAAGAAAGGAAAGGAAAGGAAAAGAAAAGAAAAGGAGGAGGGAGGGAGGGAGGGAAGGAAGGGAGAGAGAGAGAGAAGGAAGGAAGGATGGGAAACTGTCTCAAAAAGAGAGAAGAAACTCTGTCTAAAAAAGAAGAAGAAACTGTCTGAAACAGAAAGAAGAAAGGAAAGAAAGAAGAGGAAGAAGAAGGAAGAAAGGAAGGAAGAAAGAAGGGAGGAGGGAGGAAGGAAAGGAAGGAAGAGAGGGAAGGAAGGGAGGGAGGGAGGGAAACTGTCAGAAAGAAAGAGGAAGAAGAAGGAAGAAAGGAAAGAAAGTGTCTCAAAAAAAAAGACGAAAGCAGGAAACTCTGTCTCAAAAAGAAAGAAGAAAGTGAAAGAAAGAACAAGACAAGATAGAACGAACATAAGCCATTGTGACCGCAGAACCTCATTCACCTTTCATGAGGTGAAGGCAAACACCCATTCCCTTTGTCTCCAGATTTCAGTCCCCAAGGTCATAGCTTGAAGTCCCTGGAAGGAATTATTTCTCTGTGGAGCCCTTTCCTGAGAAACTTGAGTAAAGCCAGGAATGTCCGTTGCAGCTTTTCACATGTCTGCAGTGAACTGTGTGGAAGGGAAGACATTTTCCACATCGATTCTTTTTGGTGAAAATAAAGTTGCTGTCGAAGACGGGTGGAAAATAAGAATATCTTTTAAAGAGAGAAAAGACTTTTGGTGATGCCAGCCTAAACCTATTTCTTCTAATTCCCTTCTGCAAAAAAAAGAGCAGATGGGCCGAAAAACCTAGTGGGGGAACAAAAGTGCACGGGTATTTTATAGATAAATCAGCAAACCAACAGGAATGCATATACGGAAAAGATGTAATTTGTTCCTGCTCTTGACAAGTACGTAGAAATATGGAATAATCTTTACGATTGTTGACGAGTATGATAACAATGACAAGAACATTCTGAGGACTTACTAAGAACGAAGCACTGTGTCCAATTCTTGATTTAAAATCATTCATTTTATTTTCCCAGCAAACCAGAAAGTTAATACGGGTTGAGTATCTCTTATCTGAAATGCCTGGGGCTGGAAGTGTTTTCAAACATTTTATTTTTTCAGATTTTTTTATATTTGGATATATAATGAGGTATCTCTAGAGGGGGCTCTTGTCTAAACACAAAATCCATTTATGTTTCATATGCATGTTATACACATGATCTGAAGGTAATTTTATATATTTTAACGATTTTGTGCATAAAACAAAGTTTTGACTGCATTTTGACTGTGACCTTTCGCATGAGGTCAAGACAAGAGTTCCTTGTTCTTCCTCAACAAACAGAGTCCTCCAACACACACCACCCTTCGTATCATTATAGTTTGTTCCTGCTCTTGACAAGTCGGTAGAAATATGGAATATCAATCTTTAGGATTGTTGAGGACTATCATAACAATGACAAGAACATTCTGAGGACTTACTAAGAACCAAGCCCTATGCCCAATTCTTGATTTAAAATCATTCATTTTATTTTCCCAGAAAACCAGAAAGTTAATACAGGTTGAGTATCTTATATCTGAAATGCCTGGGACTGGACGTATTTCAAACATTTTATTTTTTCAGATTTTGTTATATTCGTATATTTAATGAGCTATCTTGGGATTGAGCTCTTGTCTAAATGCAAAATTCGTTTATGCTTCATAGGCATCTTTTTTTTTTTTTTTTTGAGATGGAGTCTCCCTTTGTCGCCCAGGCTGGAGTGCAGTGGTGTGATCTCAGCTCACTGCAAGCTCCACCTTCTAGGTTCAAGCTATTCTCCTGCCTCAGCCTCCCAGTAGCTGGAATTACAGGCACGTGCCACCACACCCGGCTAATTTTTTGAATTTTTAGTAGAGACGGGGTTTCACCATGTTGGTCAGGCTGGTCTCGAATCCCTGACCTCAAATGATTTCACCCGCCTCGGCATCCCAAAATCCTGGGATTACAAGTGTAAGCCACCACGCGCAGCCTCATATGCATCTTACACAGATGACCTGAAGGTAATTTTAAACATTTTAACAATTTTGTGCATAAAACAAGGTTTTGACTGCATTTTGACTGTGACCTTTCACATAAGGTCAAGAGTTCGTTGTCCTTCATCAACGAACAAAGAGTCCTCCCAACACACACCACCTTAGTATCACTGTAATTTTCCACTTATGGTACCATGCTGCTGCTCACATAGTTTCAGATTTTGGAGCATTTCAGGTTTTGGACTTCCAGATGAGGAATGGCCAACCTGTATTATCATTCCTGCATTTTATAGAAGAGGGAACTAGGGGCCGGGTGCGGTGGCTCATGCCTGTCATCCCAGCACTTTGGGAGTCCAAGGCGGGTGGATCAGAAGGTCAAGAGATCAAGACCATCCTGGCTAACATGGTGAAACCCCATCTCTAATGAAAATACAAAAATTAGCCGGGCATGGTGGTGCGCGCCTGTAGTCCCAGCTACTTGGGAAGCTGAGGCAGGAGAATCACTTGAACCTGGGAGGCGGAGGTTGCAGTGAGCCAAGATCACGCCACTGCAGTCCAGCCTGGTGACAGAGCAAGACTCTGTCAAAAAAAAAAAGGAGGAGGAGGAGGAGGAGGAGAGGAAGGAGAGGAAGGAGGAGAGGAAGAGGAAGAAGAAGAAAAGGGAACTAGAAAGAGAGCGTGAACGGAGACTCGTTCCTTTCATGGCTTTTTGAGATACATGGAAGATTCAAACACAAAGAGTCTCACCTTAGACCCGGGTGCCTCCTACCATCCATAAGCTCAAACAATAGACAAAGACCCTTCTCCCAATTCTCAGCCTACATCTGCTGAGGGCCACGTAGTGTCTGCTAAGGGCTTGCTCTCTCTCTGCTTCAAAGATGGTGCCTTCTTTGTGTTCTCCCATGGCAGAGGGGCAGAAGGAGCAAGCAGAATTTCTCAAGCTCATGTATGAGGGCAGTCATCCTACCTCCTGATGACCCACACCTCCTAACACCATTATCTTGGGGGTTAAGTTCCAACACGTGAATTTGGCAGACGCACCATCATTGAGATTATAGCCACGTCCTTGTATCTGATTCAAAGTCTGGAGTACATGCATTTGAGTAATGTGAGCTACGTCATAGGTCAGTACCTTAGAAGACTGAAGACTGCCATTTTTCTTTCTTGGGAGGAGCCAGGAGGTTCTTCCCCATGCAGGACTCTTCCAGTGGGATTTCTCCAAACTCAGGCCTGCTGTCTAATGCTAGACCACTAGGACCAGAAAAAAGGAGGATTGCTCACACCATCACTAACTGGACAGAGGGGAGGGAGCAACCAGGGATGCCTGTTGGGTTTGAAATTTTTTACGTCTCTACTGCAAAGCAGGGAAAGATGAATTGCACCAGCACCAACAATGAAAGGAGATTCTGGAGGAGAGGATCTCATTTTGTGAGGTGCTCCTGCTGCATCCCGATATTTCCACTACTCTGTGTTTACCTCACTTCTCAAGGCATTCACAAGGCAGAAGCCACTTGTTGTTGCTATGGATACATTGATCAAAAAGACAGAGCAAACCCACAACAGGCAAAGTAAAATTTCCATGGTCTGAAACTCATGATGCTGGCGAGAGGCAGAGAATGCATCGTTTCCACTTCAGATCTGCTTTTCTGATAGTTTCTATGAAAATGATGGTTTTGGTTGCATGGTTTCAGGAATGCTATGGTTTGGATGTTTGTACCCCTCCAAACGTCGTGCTGAAATTTCATCCCCAGTGCTGAAGGTGGGGACTAATGGGAGGTGTTTGGGTCATGGGAGTGGATTCCTCACGCACAGATTAGTGCCCATCCTTGAGAGTAAGTGAGTTATCTCTCTTATGAGTTATTATGAAAGCTGGCTGTTAAAAAGAGCCTGGCACCTCCCCACACACACTCTCTCTCTCTTGCTTCCTGTCTCTACATGTGGTCTCTGCACATGCAGCTCCCCTTCCTCTCTGTGTCCCCACCCAAATCTATGGTTTGGCTCTATGTCCCCACCCAAATCTCATCTTCTAGCTCCCATAATTCCCATGTGTTGTGGGAGGGACCCAGTGGGAGATGATTGAATTATGGGGGCAGGTCTTTCTCATGTGGTTCTCATGATAATGGATGGGTCTCATGAGATCTGCTGCCATCCACGTAAAATGTGATTTGCTCCTCCTTGCCTTCCACCATGATAGTGAGACTTCCCCAGACATGTGGACCTGTACATCCAAAAAACCTCAGTCTCAGGTATGTCTTTATCAGCAGTGTGAAAACAGATTAATACACTCTCTCACTCTGAGTGGAAGCAGCCCGAGGCCCTTACCAGATGCAAATGTCCAATCCTGAACTTTCCAGCCACCAGAATCATGAGCCAAATAAACCTCTTTTCTTTACAAATTATCCAGCCTCAGAGATTCCTTCATAGAAACACAAAACAGACTCAGACAGAGAGTTTGTTTGGAGCAAGTGAATTAGGTCAGAGTGACATGGGGCTCCTAGGAGTTGGGGATTTACCACACACACCTGAGTGGAGGTAATGGTTGGAGATTAGCCTGAAAACCCAGAAGGTCTGTCCTGTTGGGATAAAACCTCCCCTCCTGGAGCTCAGTCTTGATGTAAATGACACATGATGTGTCCCAGACACAAGATGCAAATAAAAATGGCCTGGGGGTTAAAATTAGTCTGTGCTTTGGGGTGAGATCCATGCAGGTTGGAGTCAGTGCTTAGCTGGTATATGACTCCTGCCTGACTTTGCAGATGAGGCTGATCTCCAATCTCTGACTTTCCCTCTGTGAGGATTAAATCCGATACGCATAGTTCAGGAAGCATTAGCTGTTCTAGTGATAAAAGGGAATGAAAATATGAAAATTGCTATCATTTCTATTGCAGCTCAGGTTTCTTCTGCAAAGCCAGAGGTGATATGTCTACATTGGAGGACAGGGGAGCCAGGAATGGTGGGATTCTAACACTAACACAATTGAACACTCTCAGGCAAGCGCATCAAACATGTTTATTGCTGCCTCTGCAGGTAGTTAGTTCTCAAAAAACATGACCTGATGCTCTTCCTTGAACACACTCTTTCTTAGAAACTCCTTGCATATAAGCCGGGCGCGGTGGCTCATGCCTGTAATCCCAGCACTTTGGGAGGCCAAGGTGGGTGGATCACCTGAGGTTAGGAGTTCGAGACCGGCCTGACCAATATGGTAAAACCCCATCTCTACTAAAAATGCAAAAATTGACCAGGCGTGGTGGCAGGTGCCTGCAGTCCCAGCTACTTGGGAGGCTGGGGCAGGAGAATTGCTTGAACCCGGGAGGCGGAGGTTGCAGTGAGCCAAGATGGCACCACTGGACTCCAGCCTGGGTGACAGAGCAAGATTCCATCTAAAACAATAAACAAACAAACAAAATTCTTTGCATATGAGCCTGTAATGGAAGACAAACTCCATGGGCAACCTTCATATCTTCCCCAACAGCAGGCTGAAAGCTGTCACTTTGATGTCAAGGGGATAACTCCTATTATCACATTGTCCAAAAAGGCTCAAACTCAAGTCTCAGTAAGGTTGGCTCTAGGGGAGAAGCTATTCTTTTGCCTTTTGCAGCTTTTAGAGCTGTATTCCTTTCATTTCTTGGCCTGTCGCCCGTTCCTCCACCTTCAAAGCCAGCAACATCGTACCTCGTTTTAGTTCTGACATCGCGTACTCTCTTGCTAGTCCAGTCTCCCTCTGCCTCCTTCTTAGAAAGATGCTTCTGATGACATTGAGGATCCACCTCAATAATCCGATATCATCCTCCCATCTCAAGATCATTAACTGAAATGCATCTTTAAAGTCTGTTACCATATAATGTAACCTATTCGTGTTTTTATTGTTGTTGTTTGTTTGTTTATTTTTGTTTTTGAGATGAAGTCTTGCTCTGTTGCCCAGGCTGGAGTGCAGTGGCGTGATCTCAGCTCACTGCAACCTCCACTTCCCAGGTTCAAGTGAGTCTCCTGCCTCGGCGTCCTGAGTAGTCAGGATTACAGGCCCGTGCCACCACATCCAGCTAATTTTTATTTTATTATTATTTTTTTGAGACGGAGTCTCACTCTGTCACCCAGGCTGGAGTACAGTGGCAAGACCTCGGCTCACTGCAAGCTCCGCCTCCCAGGTTCACGCCATTCTCCTGCCTCAGCCTCCCGAGTAGCCGGGACTACAGGCACCCACCACTGCACCCAGCTAATTTTTTTTTTTTTTGTATTTTTAGTAAAGACGGGGTTTCACTGTGTTAGCCAGGATGGTCTCGATCTCCTGACCTTGTGATCCGCCCGCCTCAGCCTCCCAAAGTGCTGGGATGACAGGCGTGAGCCACCATGCCCGGCCAATTTTTGTATTTTTAGTAGAGACGGGGTGTCGCCATGTGGGCCAGGCTGGTCTTGAACTCCTGACCTCAGGTGATCCACCCACCTCGGCCTCATTACAGGCTATTCATGGGTTTTAAGGATAAGGACCTGTGTATGACTGGGGGCTGTTATTCAGCATCCCGCAGCATTGTTTTGTGGATGCACTCTGGCTACAATTCCAAGAAGGCAGCATGAGAAATTTCACAGCCACCCTCCAGCAGGGAGTTGACAGGCACAGTCCAGCCCGGGGCATCCTACTGGCAGGGGAGCTGTTGTTGTGTTGACTTCTGTCAGATCAACATAAGTGACACAGCTTCCTCCGCACACACCGAGGGGGACATGCTTAAGAATGTCATTAGGAGGCCCGGGAGATCACAGCACTAGCTTAGCTAAATGGGGTTTCGGCAATGAGAGTCTGGTGCCAACAATATGGATATTATTTAAGATTTTTAATAAAGCAGGGGAAACAAAGAGAACTGAGAAGGAGGAATAAAGTGCTGAAAAACATTTATCTGCTCTTAAGCAATTTCATTTAAAGGAGAAAGAAACGGAGGCTCAAACCAAAGATGAATATTGACAATGATGTTTTTTGTTTTGAGACGTAGTCTCGCACTGTTGCCCAGGCTGGAGTGCAATGGCGCGATCTCGGCTCACTGCAACATCCGCCTCCTGGGTTCGAACGATTCTCCTGCCTCAGCCTCCTGAGTAGCTGGGACTAGAGACGCCTGCCATCACACTCAGCTAATTTTTGTATTTTTAGTAGACACGGGGTTTCACCATGTTGGCCAGGCTGGTCTCGAACTCCTGACCTTGTGATCTGCCCACCTCGGCCTCCCAAAGTGCTGGGATTACAGGCGTGAGCCACCAGGCCCGGCCCTAACAATGATGTTTAAATAGGCAGAAAAGTAAGGCTGGTTTTGGCAAAGCAGAAAGCATTAAAAGGCCCTGGGCTCGGTGTGTAGAGCTTTGACTACAAAGGGAAAAAGTCACAGGGAAACTGGTTTATTTACATTATGAATACAAAATGCTAAACTGGTGGACTGATTAAACTTATCAGCAAAAGACTAAAGAAAGACATTTTCTGGAAGCATTTGCAAGGGTTGGGTAAGCCACATGGTCACTGGGCAGTGTTCAAAGCAACTGCTCCTTGGAGACCTCTGACCTGAGTATATCTTGAGGGTTTTTCCAGGATGGGGTTCAGGGAAGTGTATTAAGGATCCAAACATCATTTTGGTTTACAAAAAATCATTATGAAGAGTTCAAAATATACAAAAAAAAAAAAAAAAAAAAAAAAAAAAAAAAACAGTCAAAGAGTAAAAACAAACCCTCATGGAAAAAAAGAAAAAAATTGTCTCTATTTGACGATGATATAATTGTCTTGATAGAAAATATCAAATAATCTGGAAAAAACTTTCTAGAACTAATAAATGAGCTCAATAAGTTCACAGGATGCAAGATAAATGTATAAAAATCAATTGTATTTCTATACAGTGACAATGGACAAGGGGAAACCAAAATATAAACTATAATACTATTTTAGGCCGGGTGTGGTGGCTCACGCCTGTAATCCCAGCACTTTGGGAGGCCGAGGGGGGCGTGGATCACCTGAGGTCAGGAGTTTGAGACCAGCCTGGCCAACATGGTGAAACCCAGTCTCTACAAAAAATACAAAAAAATTAGCTGGGCGAGGTGGCAGGTGCCTGTAGTCCCAGCTACTCGGGAGGCTAAGGCAGGAGAATCACTTGAACTCGGGAGGTAGAGGTTGCAGAGAGCCAAGATCGTGTCATCGTATTCCAGCCTGGGCTATAGAACGAGACTCTGTCTCAAAGAAAAAAAAAAAAAAAACTATTTTAAATTGCTCCAAAGAGAACGAAATACTTATATATAAATCTCACCAAGCATATGTAGTTCTGTATGATAAAAATTATAAAATTCTGATGAAAAATATCAACGAAGATCCAATTAAGGAAAGGCATACTGAGTTCCTGGAGCACAATCACTATAGTAAAGATGTAAGTTCTCCTTAAACTGATTTACAGAGTTAACACAATTCAGGCTGAGTGCAGTGGCTCGCGCCTCTAATCCCAGCACTTCAGGAGGCTGAGGCGGGTGGATCACCTGAGGCCAGGAGTTTGAGACCAGCCTGGCCAACATGATGAAACCATGTCTCTAATAAAAATACAAAAATTGCCTGGGTGTGGTGGAGGGCACCTGTAATTCCAGCTACTCGGGAGGCTGAGGCAGAAGAATTGCTTGAACCCAGGAGGTGGAGGTTGCAGTGAGCTAAGATTGTGTCAGTAAACTCCAGCCTGGGCGACAGAGCAAGACTCCATCTCAAAAAACAAACAAACAAACAAAATTCACATAAAAATCCCAGCATTTTAAAAATATACCTAGAAAAAATTTTAAAAATAGACATAGAAAAGATTATTATAACATTTATAAAGTAATGGAAAAGCTCTGTAAGAGTTGAAACCATTTTGAGAAAGAATTAAGTGACAGAAATCACACACTCTTTGGGATTACTATATTGCTGGGATAAAATGGAGAGAGTATGGCACTGAACAAAGATAAGACACATAAATAAATGGAACAGCATAGAGAACCCAGAAACAGATACCTGCAATGATGTCCGACTAATGTTTGAGAATGGAGCAAAAGTAATTTAATGGAAGAGGAATATCCATTTCACTGAAATTTCTGGAGCAAGGAGACATGACGAACAACATCAAAAAATGAATCGCAACCTAAACCTCATAGCTTTTATACAAATTAACTCAAAATAAATCATGGACTTAAATGTAAACCACAAAACCATGGTGTGCTGTTGCATCTATGATCTCAAAAAGAATGATGGATTGCATTTAACGATGATATCTTCTACAGGAGGCCAAGCGACTAAGACAATTCTTTTTTATTTTTATTTTTTGAGATGGAGTCGCACTCTTGTCGCCCAGGCTGGAGTGCAGTGGCGCCATCTCGGCTCACTGCAACCTCCACTGCCCGGGTTCAAGCGATTCTCCTGCCTCAGCCTTCCGAGTATCTGGGACTACAGGCACCTACCACCATGCCAGGCTAATTTTTTATTTTATTTTTTGTACTTTTAGTAGAGACGGGGTTTCACCATATTGGCCAGGCTGGTCTTGAACTCCTGACCTTGTGATCCACCCGCCTTGGCCTACCAACGTGTTGGGATTACAGGTGTTGGGCCACCACGCCCAGCCAACGAGTCTTTTTTTCATGGTCAAAACCAAAATCTAGATTGCAAAATTCAGATAAAGCAATTTTACGGCTTATAAGGTACCTACATAGGCCTGATGTTTTGCAGTGAGGGAGGAAAAGTCGCAAAAAAAAAAAAAAAAGAAATACTCTGAAGAAAGTGAAAAGACAAGCCACAGAATGTAAGAAACTATTGGGAAGACATATATCTCCTAAAGGACTTGTGGCCAACATTTAGGAAGCATAGTTACAAGTCATACGAAGATGGCACCTGACCCGATAAAAATTAGGAAATAGAGCTGAAAGGACTTGTCAGTAAATAAGACGTATAAGTGGCAAAATAAGTCTATGAAGCGGGTCTGTGTTTCTTGGGGGGTTCTGGAATGCAGACACCGAGACAGAGTTAGAAACGCAAAGGTGGGGCATGGTGGCTCACGCCTGACATCCCAGCACTATGGGAGGCCGAGGTGGGTGGATCACCTGAGGTCAGGAGTTCGAGACCAGCCTGGCCAACGTGATGAAACCCCGTCTCTACTAGAAATACAAAAATTAGCTGTGCATGGTGGCAGGTCCAGGAATCCCAGCTACCTGGGAGTCTGAGAAAGGAGAATTGCTTGAACCCAGGAAGCAGAGGCTGCGGTTAGCCAAGATTGCACCATTGAACTCCAGCCTGGGTAACAAGAGCAAAACTCCGTCTCAAAATATAAATAAATAAATAAAATTTAAAAAGGGAAACATTTCCGGCCAGGCGCAGTGGCTCACACCTTTAATCCCAGCACTTTGGGAGGCCAAGACGAGTGGATCACCTGAGACCAGGAGTTCAAGACCAGCCTGGCCAACATAGTGAAATCCCGTCTCTACTAAAATTACAAAAAATTAGCTGGGCGTGGTGGTGTGTGCCTGTAATCTCAGCTACTTGGGAGGGGAGGCTGAGGCAGGAGAATTGCTTGAACCTAGGAAGCAGAGGCTGCAGTGAGCCAAGATTGCACCACTGCACTCCAGCCTGGATAACAAGAGCAAAACTGCGTCTCAAAAAAAAAAAAAGAAAGAAAGAAAGAAAGATTTCCGGCCAGCCTCAGTGGCTCACACCTTTAATCCCAGCACTTTGGGAGGCCAAGACGAGTGGATCACCTGAGGCCAGGAGTTCAAGACCAGCCTGGCCAACATAGTGAAATCCCATCACTACTAAAATTACAAAAGATTAGCCGGGCATGGTGGCGGGTGCCTGTAATCTCAGCTACCTGGGAGGCTGAGGCAGGAGAATCACTTGAACCCAGGAAGCAGAGGCTGCAGTGAGCCAAGATCACGCCACTGCACTCCAGCCTGGGAGACAAAGCGAGACACTATCTCAATAAATAAATAAAAATGAATAGAAGGATGAGAAAAACAGACACTAGGGATTTCAAAAGGAGTGTGGATGGAGAGCAGTAAGGGTTCAAAAACTACCAACTGGGGGGTACGCTGACTACCTGGGTGTTGGGATTATTAGAAGCCCAAACCTCAGCATCACACAATATACCTAAGTCACACCCCTGCACACACACCCCTTCATCTGAAATTTAAAACGGGGGCGGGTGCAGTGGCTCATGTCTGTCATCCCAGGACTTTGGGAGGCTGAGGCAGGAGGATCACTTGAGCACAGGAGTTCGAGACCAGCCTGAGCAAGATACGGTAGACCTCATTGCTATGAAAACATTTTTTTAAACACTAGCTGGGTGCGGTGGTGCGCACCGGTATTCCCAGCTACTTGGGAGGCCGAGGCAGGAGAATTGCTTGAGCTCAGGAGTTCAAGGGTGCAGGGAGCTATGATCACGCCACTGCCCTCCAGCCTGGGTGACAGAGCAAGACCTTATCTCAAAATGAATAAATAAATTAATTCAATTTTAACATAAAATACAAAACATCTATAATATAATCATTTTTAAAAGTTAAACAATGTCTAAAAAAGGAGTTGTATTTTTCTATATGTATACCTGTAGAAATAAATATATATATTTCCTGTGTCTGTGTATATATAAAATATTTTTCTAATATAACATATATAAACATTATATATGTAATATATTATATAATATAATATACAATATATAACATAAGCAATATTAAAAATTATATATAATATATATTATATTATATATTATATTATATTATATATTATATTATATTATATATTACATTATATATTATATTATATTATATATTATATTATATATTATATTATATGTTATATAATATATAATACATATTTATTTATATATTAATATACATTATACATTAATATATATTTTTATATATTTATTAATATATAAATATATAATATGTTTATATATTATATATGTATACTATATAAAATATATAATATAAATATATATGTATTGTATAATATAAATTATATATAAATATATAAATATATAATATAAATTATATATAAATATATTTATATAAATATATTATAGAATATATAATATATTAATAGTATGTAATATAATATTAATATATTATAAATAAATATATTATAAATATAATATATAATACATATGTAATATAAATATATATAATACATATGTAATATAATATACATATTTTATAGTTAATTTATTAACTATAACTATTATTATATATGCATAATATATTAAATATATTTTATATATATTTGTAATATTTATATATAATGTACACACAGGAAATATATATTTTATATTATGAATATAAAATATTTATAATTTTTTATTTTCTATTATTTTATGTATATATATGCCATGCGAACTCTAACGCGTACGTTCTTTAATCACGTTTTTCGTGTCTTGTTTTACGGTTCCATCTGGACTTGGAGCTGCCCTTTGAAAAAGCCACAGCTGCTGTGTCAAGTCTGGTGAACGTGACATCCTGACTAAATTCTCGAAAGGAAAGAGATGAAACTCAGGGACATGTACCTGGGTCACCTGGAGAACCAGCAATGGGCACCGTCTGTGGTTGGTTGCCTTTGTAACCTCCGTGTATGTATATATATATATATATATACATATATATATATATATATATATATATATATATATATGCACACATAGCATGTACATCGCTCAAAGCCCAGGTTTTTGGACATCAGTGTAACTGACCTGCTGATTAGCGTATGGTGAGGACTGCCAGCCGGAACACACCAGGGAAAGGATAAAAAAAGTGGGCAGAGCGAGGAGCTATTTTAGTCCTGGTCCAGGGTCCACCACCATGTGGCTGCATTTTAATGACACACGCGCTTCACCCTCCCAGATGCTGAATTCACCTGCAACATCACACTCCTCAAGGAGACGTTTAGCAGACATTATCTGAGGGCTCCGTGCAGAGCAGAGCCTGGTCACTGACTGTTTTCTCAGGAAAAGATAGGTGCAGAAGGTAGGGGAAGGACCTGAGTCCCAGGGGAATCAGCCACTAAGAATTCAGCATCTGGCCAAGTTGCTCAAAGAAATTGTTCTTGTTTAGCCTCTCTCTTGAATCAGTGGATGTTTACTGGAACCTGGAAGGAAAGGGAAGACAGCCAGAAGCTATGGTGTATGTGTGTGTGGCTGAGCAGGGAAAGGAAAGAGGTGGAGAGAAGGAGGGAGAGAAGAAGGAATAAGACAGGGGAGGAGGAGAGGGGAGGAAGAAAGAGGAGGAGAAGGAGGAGGGGGAGAAGGAGGAGGAGTAAAAAGAGAAGTGGTAGGAGAGGGTAGAAGGAGGAGGAGGAGAGGGAGGAGGAAGAGAAAAGGAGAGGAGGAGGAGGGGAGGAGGAGATGGGAGGAGGAGGAGGAAAGGAGAGAAGGAGGAAGAGGGGGAGGAGGAGGAGGAAAGGAGAGAAGGAGGAAGAGGGGGAGGAGGAGAGAGAAGGAGGGGAGACAGGAGGAGGAGGGGAGAGGGGAGGAGGAGGGGAGAGGGGAGGAGGAGGGGAGAGGGGAGGAAGAGGGGAGAGGGGAGGAGGAGGGAGGGGAGGAGGAGACAGGAGGAGGAGGAGGAGAAGGAGAAGGGAGGAGGAGGAAGAGAGGGGAGGAGGAGGAAGAGGAGGGGGAGGAGAGGGTAGAAGGAGGAGGGAGGAGGAGGACAAGGACAGACAGTGGGAGGAGGAGAAATAGTAAATGAAGAAGGAGAACAAGAAAAGATGAAAAAAGAGAGGGAGTAGAAGGAAAAGGAGAAGGAGGAAGAGGAGAAGAAGGAGTATCAAATGGTACAATTTCTAAAATCCAATCTGACCAAGTCTAGACCTTCTCCAAAAGAAATCGCCAAGTAAGCAGTAACAAGTAAAATGAAAGAGAGGATAGTCTTTAAGAGACAAACCTAGTAGGTCAGATTTTTTTTTTTTAAGGAAGCTTAGTTTTTATTGGATACACTTTCATCTTTATAGCTCATTGATTGTGAAAAGGCTTATGGAATAATATAATTACCAAACAACAAAATAAATAAACAGTTGTAGACTTATGCTACACAATAAATGACAAAACCGCACACACACAAAAAAGGAGGGGAATATTTAAAACTTAGTTACGTTTCCTTCGACACATTTTTCACTGGGTGGAAGGAAAAGCCCAGCATCAAATACTTTCTTTGAAGTCTCTAAAAGCTTTCTCAGTGATGAGATTAAACTTGCAAAAGCTTTCTTGCTGTGGGGAGGCAACAACGACAGCTCTAATTACAGGGGTTCTGCACTCAGGGTGTTATGGTTCTCTGAAACAAGGAAGAGAGGCGTGCATACATTAATCCAAGGATACGTCCCAGCCAGTAATGAGCCACCGCTTGCAGTGGAAAGCAGGGAGTTGTGAGCTTGTGTCATAGAATATACAATTTCCTTGTGGTGTCCCACAAAAAGCTATCTCCCATTCAGATTGTTCCTACGTAGTTGTGCCAGTCATAACAAGAACCAAGATC